>NC_000012.12:30902028-31054723 GCF_000001405.40 Homo sapiens
TAGCTGTGGGACTTTGAGCAGGTCTCTTCATCTCTCTAAGACTCGGTCTTCTCATGTAAATATATGGATAAAAATAATGCTTGCCTCCCAGGGTTATTGTGAGAGTTTAAACAATAATGCACAATTATCATCAGTGGAAGCTAAAACCACTAGACAAAATACTTACGGGGTTAGTCACATGACCTCAAAGTATCACTCCAGACTACTGTTTAGGCTCTTCAAAACTATCAATGTCATGAAAAGGGAATGCACAAAGGGGAGGCTGAGAAACTACTCTAATTAAAGGAGATTAAAGAAACAGGAAAAGTAAATGCAATGCGTGATCCTTGGTTAGATCCTAAATTGAGAAAAAGAAGAGAGGAAGGAAGGAAGGGAGGGAGGAAGGCAAGCAGGCAGGAATTATTGAGAAATAGGGGAAATTTGAACAAAGATTATATAATAGATAATGGAATTGTTTTAATGTTAACTTTCCTGACTACAGAGAGGGAGCAATTAATAAAACTAGATGTTTCATTGCATATTATTCCAAATTTTTGCAGGTTTTAAACGTTTTCAAAATAAGGATTAGGCAGAAAAAATAATGCACGTAAAGTTCATGGTACATAATAAGGGCTCAATGCGCAGCAAATATGATATGCTGGTGATGATATCTTGACTTGATTGAAACTATTAAAATTTCAAAATGCTTATTTTATCTCCACATCTGTTTCTGACTTGCTATGTGAGATGGCTCAAGCCAGTGACCCATTCCAAGGTTCAGTTTTCCCATCTAGAAAGCAGGAAGACATCAGAGCCACATGTGGAATACGAAAAAGAAACAAATACTGAGAGTATGATAAAGATTACACACATAATGAGGAAATCAAATTCCTCTCTACGGTTGGGATACATTAACCCATGTTACTGTAATTATGATGGGAACACTCTCTGATTATTCAAATAAAGTCTACCCTGGTGTATTTTTTTTCTTTTTGCATTTTCTTTCATACCATGATAAAGTTACTGTCACTCTGTGCTTTTAAAATGTGCTATGAAGCTTAAAAGGGGAAAAGCAATGCCTGTTTAAGAAAGCTCGAAGAGAAGGCAGGCCCTACTGCATGAGTGACATAATTCCATGAACACTGATTGAATACCTTCCTCTGTGTCAGCCACTTGGGATGCAAAAAGAGCAATAAGATGATTTTCTGCTTTTGCTTGAAGGCCTCATGACCTATTGGAGAAAAAAAAAACACATAATCAAGAAATTAGATAAGCCATATATAAACTCTTTGCCGAACATTGTGTCATGTAAAACATAGTAGGTTCATAGTAAGTAGGTATTCACTAAATCACTGTTAAATGAAAGAAGACTGGATGGATGGATGGATGGATGGATGGATGGATGGATGGATGGATGGATTCATGGACAAACAGGCGGACAACAGAATGGAGAGAATGACATGAGAAACACCAGAAAGAATAACTAATTCCATATAAAGACTTTAGGAGGCTGGGGAAAGGCCACTGGTTTATTGATATTTGAAGTGGATGTTGAAGGACCAGGATAATTTCATTTGGAATGAAAACCATCTTAGGGGAACAACATAATGTAAGGAATAATTTTTTACTTTTCAATCAAATCTGTCCTATTGGGAGAAAAAAATCAGAGGAATACAATGTTAGTGATGTAGTCACCTAGGTAAACCTGTTCTGAATCAAAAGAGAGGATGATAGCACTTTCTGGAAGAGGAACAACACAGTTTTGTTCCGTGAGCATTATTAAACATGCACCGTGTTGAAACCATTTCTCAGTCTGATGATACAAAGACAGTCAGACATTGCCATAGGCCAGAGAGTCCCATGACTTGGTAGCAAGATTTTTTTCTACAGATCTTTCTGTACTGGTCCACAAAAGTAAAAGTTAAAGGACAAGAGACAAGCAGTCAAACTTAAAACTAGCTCTTAAGTAAAAGTCTTTGCTGAACATTGGGTGGCATGTAAAACATAGTTGGGTCAGAGTAAGTAGGAATTCAGCAAATCACTGTTGAATGAAAGAATGGCTGAGTGAATGCATGGATGGATGGACAGATAGATAAATAGATAGATGACAGATAGATAGATAGATAGATAGATAGATAGATAGATAGATAGATAGGTGAATGGATTGACAAGCAGACAAAAGAATGGAAAAGTTGATCACAAATAACTCTAAATACAGGCAAAATAGAAATGCCCAGAGAATTGCCTCCTGAAGAATATGTCTATATCTAAGCTGCCAGGGGTTGGTTTGGGTTCAAAACAACTTGGTTTGGCTGGTTGGGTTTAAAACAAAAGAGTTTTAAAATGCCTGAAATCACTTAGAAAATGCAAAAGAGTAAAGAAAGCCAAAGCTTAGAGAAGGATAATTGAAAACAGTACTTGAGTGAGACAATTTATACCCATTGCCATATTTTGATTTTGCCCTAATTATATATTTTCTTAAGAACTGTAAAGCCTAGGTTACAAGGAAGATACAGCCTAATAGTTTAACTGTTGATCTAATAAGAAGTTTTCCTTTTAGAAAAAGCAAAATAATATGGCTGAATCATGCTTTTCATCTCTTACCCCTTCTCTGTCACACAGAACTGGCATAAATGTATTCATCTTCCCTCTCTAATTCCTCCAGCTAGTAGGAAGGAACTGAAATTGTGGGTACAGTCTAGGAGAAATTACCCGGCTTTTGGAGAATGTCTTACTACCATCCAGAATAAATGACAGTAAAAGACAACGGGCTGGGCGTTGTCCCCAGCACTTTGGGAGGCTGAGGCAGGCAAATTGCTTGAATCCCAGGATTTCAGGGCCAGCCTGGCCAACATGGCAAAACTCCGTCTACTAAAAAAAATACAAAAATTAGCCAGGCGTGGTGGTGGGCACCTCTAGTCCCAGCTACTCAGGAGGCTGAGGTAGGAGAATCTCTTGAACCCAATAGGCGGAGGTTGCAGGGGCCAAGATTGCACCACTGCACTCCAGCCCTGGAGACAGAGTGAGACTCCATCTTAATAATAATAATAATAATGATAAAAGACAACAAAGGCTTATTTTACTGGGGAAATGGTGCGGTGTAGCAGCTAATCATGCTGACTCTGGAATCAGTGTATGGGCGACATCCTTAATCTTCCTAGGCCTCAATTTCCTAATCTGTAAAATGGGGACAATGACAGTACCTATCTCATAAAGTTGTTATAAAGATTAAAATTATAAAGGATGCAAATCATTAGCGTACTGTAACTCATAATAAACACAAAATAAATATTAGCTATTGCTGAGAGATGAAAAATAAAAGCAGATAATTGGGAACTTGATATATAGTGTTCAACTGAACCAGTCACAGCTTGGTCATTCCACCGGCTGACATTGGAATGAATCAAAATTTGTTTAAACCAATGGCTGTCGATGGGAAGTGGTATTGCCCCCAAGGGAAGTTTGAAAGAAGTTGTCACAGTGACTAGAAAACTCCACTGGCGCTAAATAGGTGAGAATCACGGGTTCTCCTGCAGTGAGCAGGAGAATCCTGCACAACAGTAAATTGTCATCTAAAACACCAGCAGCACCCCTAATGTGAAATCCTGGATTAAACTCTCCACGGGATTCCATTCCCCTGGCCGGATTGCTTTAGGCTTGGACATGGGCCTATTTTGGCCAACAAGACATAAAAGCCTGTTGGGATTCTGAGAAAACCTTTTCTTGTGATTAAAATAAAAGCACATCCCCCACTAGGGGAACTTGGGGCCTCCGCGGCTGCCTTGCAACCATGAGGGGAAAGCCCAGAGACACAGAGAACACCCACAGCCCTGACATTCCTGAGATGCTGAATTAGCCAGCCTTTAACTACTTACCTCCAGGTGTCTTGCAGGGCAAAAAAAAAATCATTTCTTTTAATATAATCAAATTTTAATCTGATTTAATCCATTATTTGCAGCCTGATGCATTCTGAATAGTATATTGTTTGGCCTAAAGAAGGTGAAAGGGAAAAAAAATCATATGATGATAGCCCTAATACCATTAATTAAGGTGCTGCCCTCATCACCTAATCAGTTCTTAATGCCACCACATTGGGGATACCAACACATATGAATTTTGAGGGGACACAAACATTCAGCCCATAGCTGACTTGCATGCTAACAGCTACAAAACACTATTGGAAGAATCAAAGATCTAAATAATTTAGAGATCCACTGTGTTTGTGGTTTAAAAGACTCAACAGAGGAAAGATGTTCATTGTTCCTCAAATGTATATACAGGTTTAACACAATCTCTATCAAAATCTGAGCAAGGTTTATATATATATATATATAATATATATAGTATATTTTAAAATTTACATGGCAAGGCAAAGGAACTAGAATAGCTAAAACAAATTTGAAATAGAGGAATAAAGTGAGTGGAATTAGTCTGCTCAATTTCAAGACTTATTATTTTGAAATATATAGTTACAGTGACCAAGACTGGATAGTATTGATGGAAGGATAGACACATAGCTCATTGGAACAGAATAAAGAACCCAGAAATAGACTTGCACAAATACGCATGAGTGATTTTTAGAAAAGGTGCAGAAGTAATTCGATGGAGAAAAGAGAACCTTTTTAACAAATGGTACTAGAGGAATTGGACATTTACAGGGCAAAAAATACCTTGCCCTATCTACTATTTGGTACAGAAAAATTAACTCAAAATGTATCATGGACTTATGTACAACTATAAAACTTCTAGAAAAAAACACAGGAGAAAATCTTCATCATATAAGGTTAGGCAAAGAGTTGTTAGACTTGACATCAAAAGTATGATCCATAAAAGAAAAAATTTGGCCGGCCGCAGTGGCTCAAGCCTGTAATCCCAGCACTTTGGGAGGCTGAGGAGGGCGGATCACGAGGTCAGGAGATCGAGACCATCCTGGCTAACATGGTGAAACCCCGTCTCTACTAAAAATACAAAAAATTAACTGGGCGTGGTGGCAGGCACCTGTAGTCCCAGCTACTCGGGAGGCTGAGGCAGGAGAATGGTGTGAACCTGGGAGACAGAACTTGCAGTGAGCTGAGATCGCACCACTGCACTTCAGCCTGGACGACAGAGCAAGACTCAGTAAAAAAAAAAAAAAAAAATTGATAAATTGGACTTCATCAAAATTTAGAACTTTTGCTCCATGAAAAAACCTGTCAAGAGGATGAAAAACAACCCACAAACGGAAGAAGTTACTTGTAAACCACATATCTGACAAAGAATGAGTATTTGTAATATATAAGAATTCTTAAAACTCAACAGTTAAAAAAATTAGAAAATAGACAAAAGATATGAACAAATGTTTCACCAAAAAGGCTATACAGATGGCAAATAAGAACACAAAAAGACATTCAACATCACTAGCGATTAGGGGAATGTAAATTTAAACCATTAAGATGTCGTACACACTTATCAGAGTGACTAAAATGAAAGGTAGTGCCAATGAATGCAGCTGAGGACACAGAGAAACTGGATCTCTCATGCATTGCTAATGAAAATTGAAATGGTATAGCCACTGTCTAAAAATTAAATGTGCAGCTACCATATGACCCATCAATTGTACTCCTGGACACTTATCCCAGAGAAATGAAAACTTATGTTTACACAAAAACCTGTACATGGGCCCAGGCATGGTGGCTCACACCTGTAATTCCAGCACTTTGGGAGACTGAGGTGGGAGGATTGTTTGAGCTCAGGATTCAAGGCCAGCCTGGACAACATAGTGAGATCCCCATCTCTACCAAAAAAAATTTTTTCTTAAATTAACCAACTGTTGTGGTGCATGCCAGTAGTCCCGGCTACTCAGGAGGCTGAGGTGGGAGGATCACTTGAGCCCAGGAGGTCGAGGCTGCAGTGAACCATGATGTTGCCACTGCACTTAAGCTTAGGTGACAGAGCAAAACCCTGTCTCAAGCAAACAGACAAACAAACCAAAAAAGCCTGCACACAATTGTTCATAGCACCTATATGCATAAAAGCCAAAAACTGGAGACAGACCTGATGTCCTTCAATGAGTGAATGGTTAAACAATCTATGGTACAGCCATACACTGAAATACTGTTGATATATGCAACAACTTCTTGAATCTCCAGAGAATTATGCTGAGTGAAACAAATAAAGTTAATCACAAAAGGTTACATACTGCATGATTCCATTTATATGGCTTTCTCGAAATGACAAAATTATAAAAATGGAAAACAGATTTGTGGTTGCCAAGGGTAAAGAAGGGGGCTTGTAGGAAGAAGGGAAGTGGGTGTGGCTATAAAAGGGCAAGAGTGATGGAAATATTCTCTATCTTGAATGCGTCAATGTCCATATACTGGTTGTGGTACTGTACTATAGTTTTATAAGACATTACCATTGAGGGAAACTGGGTAAAGGGTATGTGAAATCTCTCTGTATTATTTCTTACAACTGCATGTGAGTCTACAATTGTTTCAAAATTATAAGTTTAACTGAAAGAAAACTCCACACCACAATCCACTAGTCTGTGGAGCCATGAAGCCCAGAGCTGTGTGGCATGGACTTAGAAACAAAGACAAAAACGGCCCTGCGGGTGAACAAGAGGGAAGAAGCCAACAGCCCCACATGGGGTCAAGATAAATGTTCATTGATATTACATTTGCAGAAAGAAGAAAAGAAAGAAATCACCATATGAGCTGATCTACAAAAGAATCTTCTTTCAACCCAAATCCATCTGAAGCCAGAGATTCCATTCAACCTGGCACACATTCAGATAGCAAGTCTGCCTGGTACAGAAATCAGAATCTCCTGCTCACACTGAGTAATTTGATCCATTTACTCCAAGTCAGCAGTTTGGACATATGTTTGCAATCTAAGGGCTTCCTGTGAGGTACACAGAGCCATAATAACATTTTTTTACGGGAACTTTCTGGTTTTGGATGCCAGGCCAGACTGGAGTTGAAGATGTGGTTAGATGTAAACAAGAGTTTTAAAGGTCAGTTCTCCAGCCAGGAGGCTGGACTCTGTGGACCTTGACAGTGGGTGGGAAACTGTTCTCAATGGGTTTTCTCATAAAAAGATCATTTGCATGTGTTTCCTCGTACCAGAGCAGAAAAAAACCCACAGGACTTTTCCACTTTGCTTCTGCATCTGATGGGAGACAGAGGAAATGGCACAAAGCCAGCACCCCCCCATTCAACCCCAATTCTCCCAGTCCAGCCCTGAGAGAAATGCTAGCACACTGGGTCCTATGTTAAGCAAAGCCACAGCCTCTCCTCTGACTGGCCAGTACACCTAAATAATAAATATCCTCCTCAACCCCATCGGTCTCTCTAATTCCTTAAAAAATCCCACTACACTCCCAGCCCCTTGGAGAGCTGCTGCACCCTGCTCACCCTGGTTTTGCACAGGGCCCATTTTACATGTCTCAAAGGAACAATTCTCTTCCCAGTGTTCTCCTTAGGCATTTCAAGTGATTCTGTAAACCACATACTAAAAAAAGTAATGTTCTCATGTATTAACTTGACTAATATCCCATCGAATACGCCCCTACTGCTCTCAATTTATTCTACCAAACACAGAGATCTGGAAAAGCTCATTCTTTCTTACTGAACGCTAACAACCTTTTAACAATTTCATCTCCTCCTTCTGCTGCAAGAAATAAAACTCTGAGTTTGAAGGGAACATTTCCTTAAATTATAGACACAAACACTGTCTCTGTCTGTGGCCTTTGATCAGGAGTCCTAAGCCCTCATGCCTCGGTCTCCAAAGGGCTGTCCTCAAAGGCCAGGGGCAAAAGAAAATTGACTGACTAATTTGGCAAGAGGCTCTTGACCAGGGATTCCTAACTCATCTGTGGCCTCTCCAGCGCCCCAAACTGGAAGTCTATAGGATTATAGGAAGAGTATGAATATGCACATCTTCCACATGTAAATTGATCTTTCTCATTTCCTGTGTTTTTCTTCAATGGGGGATGGGGAAGGGTACAGAGAGAAGGAAAGCAGAAAACAGGATCAAGAAAGCAAACTGCCCAAATGACTAAGAAACCTCATACCAGAATGGTTGTTGAATTCTGAAGTCCTGGCTCCCAGCTCCCAGGAGCCAATCTCATGTCCCAGTGAGTTGTGGGGAGTGTCTTCCTGAGCAGGTGAATGGGGCAGTGGTGTGGCTGCTCATCACCCTTCATCGCCATACTGTGAAGGTCACATGCAAGACAGGAAAAGCCATGGAGCAGATGAGGTGTGGGGCCAAGAACACTCAAGTTGGAGGTTCTCACTGTGGGCTCAGCTATGTGATTATATGCTAGGGCAAGCCTATTGTCCTGTGCCTCAGTTTCCTCATTGGTAGAATTCAAATGTTAATACCCACCTCAGGAAATGATTGTGAGGAGTCAGTGTTAGGAATGTGTTCTGCTGCAAGTAACAGAAAGCCCAACAACTACACCTAAACAAATTAGGAGTTTGTTGTTCTCACATAAGAAGTCCAAAGTTAGATATTCCAGGGCTCAGATACCTGTGCAATTCTCATTGATTCTAAAACCCACTTTTTTTCACATTTGAACATCTTGGGAATCTGGTTGTGTCTTAAAAACATGTCAAGTTGTAGTTTAATTAATAGCATTTTATCTTTCCTAATGATACTTAAATACTGCTGTGTCTTATAATATTGCTTATGTATCCAATGAAGACAATATCAGGGGCTAAGACTCTTTCTAGCATTTATCTCCTCCATCCTTAGTCTGTGGATGACTTCCTGCATCCTCAAAACCTCATGCCTTGCCTCATGGTTGCAACATAGCTGCTGCATCTCCAAGAATCACATCCACATTACAGGCAGGAGGGAGAGAGAAGTGGGAAGAAGACAAAGGGTTTTCTTTTCTTGACTTTTTTTTTCTTTTAGTTAGAAAGAGATGCCCTCTCTACCAACTTTCACTTACATATTATTGGGCAGAACTATGTCACATGGCCACCTACAGAGTTCTGGGAAGTTGAGTGTTTAGATTTCCAGGCTCTCTAAAAGAGGAAGGCAAGGGAGGAAGTAGGTGCTTGCTTGGGTACTGAGTGAGCCCACCTATTGTGTCTGCCACAGTATTTAAAGTACCTAGTACAAGTATCTGGCATGTAGCAGATGCTCAAGAGAGAGAAATCCTGTACCTACTACACACACAGACACACACACACAAACACACACACACACACACACACACACACACGATTTCTTTTGGAGATGAGGGAAGCCAGCCCACCAAACAACTTCATTTCTTGGAACAGTACGATCAACACTCTGTAGGAATGCAAATGAAGTTTACCCAAGAAAGTGATAAACACACTTCTATCCTTTCCAATTCTGCAGAGCCGTTTCCGTAGGCTCATGCACCAGAAGATTCTGGCACAAAATAAATAAACAAACTGTTTTGCTTTTCTCACACGTGAGGGTATTTTGGTTTCCATCCACCAAGCTGAGGCTATCTCTCACTTCAGTTCTGCAGCAGCCACAGCCCTGCAGCCCCTGCTTGGTCTCAGTGGGAAACATTTGCAAGCTGGCATCTATAAGCCATTCTCACTTCAAATCTGTGACGGGGGATAAGCATTTCTATTTGCCAAAACTGCATCTCAGAGAAATCAGGAATATGTTCAAGGTCATCCAACTGGTAAGTGAGGAGCTAAGACAAACTGAGGTCGTTCTGGTGCCATACCCTTCCTTGCACATCTCCTTGCCCCCCGAAGGATTGCTTTCTGTTTAACTCTCAGTTTTAGGCCAGAAAAGTCAGGCATCACCCCAACATTAGGATCCCATGGAAGGGTTGTCATAGTGATGATAGAAAGTGGAGGCACTCTAGGGTTTTCTCTGTCCATCTGCTCCCAGGCAGGCCTGGGGCTCTGCCAGCCTCCTTGAGACTCTCCAAAGACATCCGGGCAGCAGAGTCAATCCCTGGGGGCTCATCTAGGAACTCCAGGGACTGTGTGCTTCCTTCTACTCAATAGATGGGAGATACTGAGAATTCTGCAAAGAGGAGGCGATGCCCAAGGTCATAACAGGAGTGAGAGCCTGTGTGAGGACCAGACCAAGGGCTTCATGCTGCCCTCTCTCTGGGGCCCAGGGCTGTACTGGCTCCTGTTTTGTCCTTGATTAGAGATACCAGCTCTCAGACTTCTCAGGGTCACAGAGAGTAGGGCTGAGCTTGGAGGGGATGGGTTGGGAGGGAGGGATGCTGAGGTAAGACAGTGAGTCCCTGGGCAAGTATTTGTTCGAAGAGCAACAGGAGAAGGGAATGAAGTGGGGAAGCAGTGGAAGTGTGCAAATAGCCATGGTCCTTGGCCGTTTTTGAGACTTCATCAGGTAGGCCTACCCTGACCCTCATGATCTAAATGAGCCTTCTACTTCATTATTTCCTCTGTTCTTTTCCATTATAGCACTTACTACAATTTTTGACTGCCTATTTCTTTGTATGTCTTTTCTTGTTTATGTCTGTCCAGGCCACTAGACTCTAGAGTCCATAAAGGCAGGAAAGACATTGGCTGTCCATTTGCCCAAGATCCAGCAGTGCCTGGCATATAGTAAATACCCAACAAATATGTAATGAGAAAGTGGTTTTTTTTTAACATTCCTGATTCATCTTGGACATTGATATGAACCAAAATACATGACCATTGAATAGCTGCAACTTGTGTCTGTGAGTACTCACCATTAGGTACAAGTTTAAAACAAATGTAATTTATTATAAAAATACTTTTTTGATCATCTGTGATTTTTTTTAGTGCTGAGGCAGATAATAAAAGATTAGTCTGGGTATTGTGGTTCATGCCTGCAACCTCAGCACTTCGGGAGCCTAAGGCAGGAGGATCACTTGAGCTCAGGAGTTTGAGACCAGCCTGGGCAACATGGCAAGACCCTGTTTCTACAAAATAAATAAATAAATAAATAAGATTAATATATTTTCCAATAGACATGAGTTAATTAAAAGATTATTTTTGATCTTATTATTTCTCATATTTACTTCATGGTATAATGATCAAGTCTGGCACATAATGGTTTGTAGTCTGTCTTACTTTTGTGTAGAAAATGATATTAAAGGGATTTTTATTTTGCTCCTTTGACATGAGAACATAGGGTAGAAGGTATCTTTGAGCCTCATAAGGGACCAAAAATCCCCCGGCCCACTACACACAGCCTCAGAGGGTACTGTTCCTACTGCTGTTCAGGTGCAAGGCACCCCTGGAGTTGGGCAGTGTGCAGCCTACACAGCCTTGCAGGAGCAGCCTTGTGAAAATCCAGGTTTGACAGCTTATCTGCCTGTTTTTACTCTTGCCCCTTTCTGTTCTTCCCATGACATCCAGAATGATCTTTTCAAAATTTAAGTGAGAGCATGGGATTTGTCTGCTTCAAATCCTCCAGTGACCTCTCATTGTATTGAGAACAAAAACAAAACCCCTCTCCCTGGCCCTCGGGCCCCATAGGATCTGCCCTTCTTCGCCTGTATCTCTTACATGTTTCTTACTTCCCCTTTCTCCTTTGCTCGCTGAACTCCAAACTCCAGTCCTCCGTTAGCCAAATTCATACCTGACTAAGGGTATGTGTGCCTTCTGCCTGAACTTGGTCTCCTACCCTGGCTTCCTACTTTTGACCAATCTTCATTGGTGTATTAGTCTGTTTTCACACTGCTATAAAAGAACTACCTGAGACTGGGTAATTTATCAAGAAAAAAGGTTTAATTGACTCACAGTTCCACATGCCTGGGGAGGCCTCAGGAAACTTACAGTCATGATAGAAGACAAAGAAGAAGCAAGGCACATCTTACATAGCAGCAGAAGAAAAAGAGTGAGATGGGGGTGAACCATCACACACTTAAACCATCAGATCTCATGAGAACTCACTAGAACAAGAACATCATGGGGGAAACCGCCCCCATGATCCAATCACTTCCCAGCAGGTCCCTCCTTTACACGTGAGGATTACAATTTGAGATGAGATTTGGATGGGGACACAAAGCCAAACCATATCAACTGTCTGTTTTCTTCTCATCACTCAGATCTCATCCCCAGGAGAGCTCTTCCCTGACTCTGATTCTACACTCCTCAGTCACTCTCCATGACATCTCTGTGTCTCTTCTCTCCGCAGAACTCATCCCTATCTGATATGTCCTTGTTTCTCTATGTTCATTCACTCATTATCTGTGTGCTCCACTAGACTTTAAGCTCAGTGAGAGCTGGGGCATTATCTATGTTGTTCTTTGCTGCACTTCCAGTGCTGACAGCAGTGCCAGGCCCATGGTAAGTGCCCTTGAAACATTTATTAAATGGAGGAATGAAAATCCACAAGGAGACTTGGTGGTGGTGGTCCCCAGTCTGGCTTGCTGACCAACTGGGGGAGTCCATCTGAGGACTCAAGAACCAACAGGAGCCTGCTGTGCTGGAAAGAGTCAAGAAGTCAAGAGGCCTGAGTCTACTGCCTTTTCTTGTTGCAGCCATTAGCCTCTCTCTCACTCTCACTCTCGCTCGCTCTTGCTCTCTCTCACTCTTGCTCTCTCTCAGGACTTCCATTTCCTCATCCGACCTGTGAGGCAATTGGATTGGGAGGTCTCTGAGGTCAGAGGGTGGGAGTCATTGGGGTAGCCAAGTCCCTAACTCTCCGGAGCCACTGCAGGCCCTGAGCCTGGGGTGGGAGGGTGGGGCCAGACCCCACACACAGGCTTCCAAGAAGACACATTTGCAAAGCCTGTGTGCTGGTCCCTCCCCCAAGGCTTCAAAAGCAGGTGCTTGAGACAAAATGAGGAACGTGATGGGAACTCTGTGATTGAAGAGAGTGTGTGGGTTTGACTTCCGGGCACTGTACGCAACACTCAGCCCGATGTGAGTGGGTCACCCACTGCCTCAGTTGCTGGCCTCCACTCTCAGCCTGTACCCCATGAGAGTCTGGCTGATTTTCTGACTCTTCATTAGCACAAATCCAGCAGTGTCAATGTGATATCTCCAGACAGAGGCCTGCCGACTGGGGAGCAGATAGACCTTGCTGCCATTTCCTCTCCCCACCCTCCTGGGTTCGGCTCTGCCACCTCTTAGAGTAGGACTAGGGAATGGCCAGAGGGCAGTTCAGGGTAGGTGGGAAGAGAAACTGCTGCAGACCTGAATGAAAGGAAGGAGTAAGGCACACACAGGACCACAGGAGGGAGGCGGAGGCTCCAAAGGCTATTCTGCCAACACCTGACCATGTGACATCACCTTCCTCTCTGGGGATCAATCTCCTGATTGTGAGATCAGACTAGGTGACCTCTAAGCCATCTCCCAGTGCTAGAATTTTCAAGTTCTCATTAAGTGCTAATTTCTAAAACCGCGCTCATCACATATGTGCTATGTAGGAAATGCGGCAGGGAGAGAGATCGCAGGAATTCCTGTCTGATAAGAAGGAAGTGCATTGGTCAGCAGACTCCGGCCTTTCTTTCCACGACAGCACACTTGATGAAGGCTAATTGAGAGTTTAACTACCCCCAGGGATTTTTCTGGACTTCAGCACAGATGCAAGGGATCCAGGGCTATGCATGATTCTTGGAGGCTGGGGATTAGGGGTTGGGGTGATAGCTATAACTTTTACCATATCACATAGTGTATTGGACACCACATTTAAGAGCCACTTAAATCTGCACCAGCAGACCAGATTGGAAAATTTATGTTAACAAGGCTATAGACTAGGCCAAAATCATGTTGCACACCATTAGCAGAGAGTCTTGATGGTTTTATAATTTATTCTACATGTTTTCAGTTCTGTTATTGTCCAGCACTATACTAAGTGCTAGGGAAGTAAAGATGAATAGAATCCAGCCCTTGCTCTCTAGCAGTTCCCAAAGAACCTGCTGTGGCACCCAGGAATGCCCAAGCCAGAGCCCCCACCATTAGTCCCAATGATACCTTTTGTACAAATTTTAAAAAGGCCTGCCTTTGGGACAGGTGCAGTCCAGGGTGCACACAGCCAGGTGAGCACATTAAACTGACCATTGGTCCCCCTTTTTCCCCTCAACTGAGCACCCTGGTGCAGTCAACAATCTGTGTAACTGATCCTGGTGTTCATGGTGGGTTGCCAAATTTCAATTAACATCTAACATATATTTTCATTCTAATGGGATATACATGCTAGCAATGCCTGTCAAATGGAGCACAGACCCCAAAACGTCATATCACAATGGAGCATGGGGTAAGCTGGCTATGATGTGAGGTGAGAAATGTAAAATCTGGCCAAACTGGTGTTTATTGGAACATAAAAAAATGTAACAGAACAGAAAACCAGTATTAAAGGGAGACCAAATGATAGTCTGGCAATAGTTGGGTGCTTTTATAGTTGCTTTGAAAATCATTTATACTGCAGTAGTAATTGCATTGTAATGATTCCTGACTTGTTTAGTGTGTTTTAGTATTTTAATGCTGTGATGTATGCACACACACACAACAGAAGTTGGGAATCATCACTCTAGTGGTTCTAGTGGAAAAGAAGTATATTAAAAAAATTCTGTTCCATATTAAGTTCTTCTTAGAGATTTGAGATAAAAACAAGTCACTTAACTCTGCCTAGAGAGGCCAGGGAGGGCTTCCTAAAGGAGGTGATAACTAAAGCAAAATGTGAAGATTAAATAGGAATTCACCAAGCAGACAGGGTGGGAAAGGGCACTGAGAGCAATGGAAAGCACTTGGGCAAATGTGTGGAAGAAAGGACAAATTGTGTGTACTGAGCTGCAAGCTGTGATATGGACTGGAGAGGAAAGCATGAATAAGAGCATCAAGAGGTGAAGGTGAAGCCAGCTCACAAAAGAGTCCTAATGGATGTGGCTCTGGTCCTAATCCTTCCCCCAAATTCAAACCTCCCACCACTGTCACCAATCCTAAAGTAAAGGTAAGAATTTTCCCAAGATACACATGATGTATTTTTGCTTTGGGCTCAGCAAAATGCCACAAGCTATACTCTTTTAACTTGGGTAGAAAATGTATAACACTAGCTAGGTGTTTTGCAGAAATACCAAGGACTAGTACAAAATGAAAACGTGAAGACTCTTTTTCAAAAATTATTGAGAATTTCAAGATAGCAAGAGTAGAGCATTTAATGATGTGCTAGGCCCATCAAAGTGTGGGGCTTTGTGTAACTGCACAGATTGCATGACCATAAAGTAGGTTTTGTCTGTAGTTGCGGGCAACCAGGAAAAAGGAAGAAAGAAAGGGTTGGGTGGTGGGGAGATAGAGAGAAAGAGAGGGAGAGGGAGAGAGAAAGAGTGATTGAGATGCTAATTCAAGGCAGTCAAAATCCTTTTTTTAAATCAAGCTTCCGAAATTTTGTCCTCAAAGTATCCCTAGTAACAAGAAGAATCTGCAGTATAGCAACCCTCCACAACCTTGTGTTCTATGACACAAGAACATAATTTACTTGAGTTCTTATGTCACTGAAAAATATTTTGCATGAATTCTTTGTAATGATACATAGTGTTTACTTTAATATGAAAAGTGTCTTTAGTAAGGTGACTGGTTATGAGATAAATATACAAAAACTTATATCATGATGGATCAGGAGGAGGTCAGAGTGCGTACCATCTTCTACATCTTCACCTACACAAAGTACCATGAAATAACAGAAATTATATTTTGAAAAAAATAGATTTATAATGTGGCTGGAAATCAAGGAAGAATGCTACCTGCAGACTAGAAATATTGAAGTATGATTTTTTTAGAAAGATAGGACTGAATTGATTAAAAACAAAAACAAGAGAAGGTAAGAAAAAAAAAAACCACCAAGCCAAAATGAGTAGGAGGGACTACACAAGGCAAGAACAGTTCCAGAGCACCCCAAGTTAAGAGTGATGAGATCCATGTGGGGAAGAGAGCCTGGGATCTCAATGTCATCAGGTGAATACTTCAGAACAGCTGAGCCAGTCAGGCCTGTCCCCTTCAGGCCTCCATTTACATGGAGCAAATTTGTAGATAAAGCATTTCCTCCTAGGTTCAAGCTGTTGTCACTGCGCTCTGAAAGGGGAGTTCTGACTCAATAAATCTTGTGAGCTGGGGCCAACAGGCAGAGTAGGACCTCTGGTGCCATGGACTCCTGAGAGGGATAGAGAATCCCTGCCATCAGGGTCATGCTATCTGCAGACCCCACCTGCATAGACACCTCCCCATAATCACTGGGAAGGGCAACAGAAATTGGTATAGGCAATAATGATTTCCATTTGAGTTGGGAAAAGCATTGTGTTTGGATATCACAGCCTCTGCCAAAACTAGTTTTCACATGTTTTTGAGATCTTCCTATGGTCAGGTGATTGATCAATTTATAAATATTGCATGACTGAAAAGAACATAAAATCTGATAAGTCAAAATGTTTCTTTTCTATAATTATTATACCATATTTGTTATTTGTGTTCATTTAAATCCTCTTCAGTGCTGTCCAATAAAAATACAATGAGAAACACGTATGTTATTTTAAATTTTCTAGTCACCACTTTAAAATAAGCAAAAATAAACTGATGAGATTAATTTTAACAGATTTTATTTATCCATTTATTTTAGGTTGCAATCTTTTTTAACTTTTATTGTAGGTTTGAGGGTACATGTGAAGGTGTGTTACATATATAAACTCATGTCACAGAGGTTTGTCATACAGATCATTTCATCACCCAGGAATTAAGCTCACTACCCAATATTTATCTTTTCTGCTCCTCTCCCTCCTCCCAACCTCCACCCTCAAGAAGACCCCAGTGTCGTTGTTTCCTTCTTTGTGTTCATAAGTTCTCATAATTTTAATAGATTTTATTTAACTCATATCTAAAGTATGATCTTTTCAAAATATAATCAATATTTAAAATATTCGAGCTATTTTACTTTATTTTTTCATACCAAGTCTTTGAAATCCAATGTATGTTTTACACTTTATAGCACATTTCAACGTGGATTAGCCATATTTGAAGTATTAAATAACCTAGTGACTACTGGCTATACTGTGTGGCTAGTGGCTACTATATTGGAAAGTGCACCTCTCAATCCTTGGGTTATTTTTTGTCTACTTGTCCTATCATCTTTGCTTTATACATTTTGGAGCTATGCACAAAGGTTCATGGGTGGACACGAACAAAATAAAAAAAAGTCTTCTTTGGCCAGGCACGGTGGCTCACGCCTGTAGTCCCAGCACTTTGGGAGGCCAAGGCGGGCAGATCACTTGAGGTCAGGAGTTCGAGGCCAGCCTGGCCAACATGGAGAAACCCCGTCTCTACTAAAAATACAAAATTAGCTGGGCATGGTGGCATACACCTGTAATCCCAGCTACTTGGGAGGCTGAGGCAGGAGAATTGCTTGAACCTGGGAGATGGAGATTGCAGTGAGCCAAGATCATGCCACTGCACTCCAGCCTGGGTGACAGAGCAAGACCCCATCTCTAAATAAAGAAATAAATAAATAGTCTTCTGTGACCATGAATTCTTTGGGCTTTGGATTCATTTTATCTTATATTAATATTGGCATATCTACTTCTTGGTGCCAGCATTTCCTTAGTTAATACATCTTTTCCACTCCTTTATTTTGAAACTTTGTGTCATTTTTTCATGTGTGTCCCTTTTAAGTAACATATAACTGCATTTGGTTTTGTTATCCAGAGAGTTGCCATCTTTTAATAGACACATTAACCAAATCATATTAATTCCAAATATTGGCATATTTGGACATATTTGTCCACATGCTTGTACTTTTTAGTTATGCGCTTTCTTGTTGTTTCTTTTAATTTTTTCATTTCTTACTTTTGTTGGATTAATCAAGGTTTTAGGTGTCCTGGTTCCCTTTGTTTTTTTCTTTCAGCAGTTTAACATTTACATATCGTATTTCTATTCTTCCAGTAGTTACCGTTAAGTATTTTCAGCAAAAGGAAGCAGATCATTTTATTTGCAATGATGTGTGATTGCCACTTGATAACTACTTTATCTTGTCCATTTTTGGTTATTGTTACCCTTAATTTTAACTAATTTTAAGTTATACATATATTTTCTCCCTGTGAAAAAACTAAAAGATTATAGGTTTGGTCAAATTCCTCTGACTGCATCCCCAATCCCAGTCTCTTCTCAAGAAGTAACAACCATATTTAAGTTTAAAACATTTTTGACTTTATATATATATATGTACACATACATATGTATGTATATATGTGTGTACATGTGAATAGGTCTATATATACACATACATACGTATGTATACATGTGTGTATGTGTATGTGTGAATATATCTATACGAGCGTGTGTGTGTGTTCAGCTACCAAAATAAATACTTTCTGTGACTCATTTTGTAGGAATTTGCCATAAAGAAATAATTGAATAAGTAGGCAAGTATATATATTAAAGAATGTTTCATAACAACATCATCAAAAATCTTTTTTCATTGAAAACATCCTGGCTGGAAGCGTGGCTCACGCCTGTAATCCCAGCACTTTGGGAGGCCTAGGTGGGCGGATCTTCTGAGGTCAGGAGTTCAAGCTCAGCCTGGCCAACATGGTGAAACCCTGTCTCTACTAAAAATACAAAAATTAGCTGGGCATGGTGGTGCGTGTCTGTAATCCCAGCTACTCGGGAGGCTGAGCAGGAGAATCAACTTGAACTCAGGAGGTGGAGGTTGCAGTGAGCCCAGATCACGCCACTGCACTCCAGCCTGGGCAACAGAGTGAGACTTTATCTCAAAAAAAAAAGAAAAGAAAACATCTTAAATATTCATTAATAGGGTATTAGTTAAATAAATTGTGGTATATCCATACATTACATTTAAAGTGATGTAACATATTCTTAAATCCATTGACATAAAAAGCTGACTAGAATATAGCCTCAAATTTAAAAAAATCTGATTACAAACACATACTCACAAACACACACAATTAAAAGATATTCACCAAAATCCAGTAATACAGTGGTTATTTATGATAGGTAAGAGTCCAAGTGGTTTTTAACGTTCTTATTTAATATTTTATACTGATCAAATTGTCTAAAATGAGCATAGATGGATGTTACACTTTTGAAAATATTTTTTAAAACCTATTCCCTTCTTTCCAAAAAATATTATATAAAATCTTAAATAGAACAGTTGCTCCAGGAAAATTCATGATGTTTATCCAAAGGCTTCTCTTCCTTCCCAGTATGTGACTTTGGGTCCAGAGAACCTTACAGAAGCAGGCTTTAGAAAGCTTCCTGGAGAAGATGAGAGAGGATTAGCAGTGTGCTACCTGTAGCAAAAAAAAAAAAAAAAAAAAAAATTCCATTTGTAAATAATTATCATTTTGTATGTTATTTATATATTTGCTCAGCTCTCTCTACTTATGTTTCCTGTATACTAGATATGTTTTTCTGTTTTGCTCTCACTAATTTTCTCCTGGGAAAGAACCAAACTGTAAGTTCCTTCATGTAGAATGCCAAGAGAGCACGGACATTTGAGCAATGCTTTTGACACTGCTAATGAAGATCAATATTTCAAGCACTAATTAGTGCAACTAATGTTCTTGGTGTGATTGGAAGTATGCCTGAAAACAGTTGAAAAATTCCTGCTTGTAACATCTTTCTCATGGGAATTATACCTGAGACTGTGAGGTTCAATTCCGCAGTCATTTCTTTACCTATTAAGCAGCAGATACTATTGCAAAAATCAGAAGGGTCAGTCATCAAGTTCATAGCCAAATGTAGGCTGAATTAAAGCTAAGCCTAACTGATCAATATTTAACATCTGGTCATTCCCTAGTCCTTCCAGAAGAAAGACAGATGCTAACAAAAGGCTTTTTAGCTCTATTTTTCACATGGATTAAAAAACCAAGGCTAGTTTCCACTTTCTAAGAGAGTAGAAAGAATCTTAGGAGGAGTTTCTCCCCATTTTAAAGATGGAGGCTGAGTCAGATTAGCTGTCTCTGATGGGTATCCTGAAGGGAATGTTTTCCATTAATATCTCCAAGAACCTAACTGATCTTCCTCAGAATGGCTCAGTCACGAGTTTATACAAAGAGTACTCATTAGGGCCATATCAGGACAGCAGCTTAACCAAGCATGGATGTCAAGGAGGCAGAAGTAGCTTCATTTCCTTGCAATCCTCCTAGGTAGTGACTAGAAATTGTTTTGAAAGACAAGCTTGGCCCAGCGCGGTGGCTCATGCCTGTAATCCCAGCACTTTGGGAGGCCGAGGCGGGCGGATCACGAGGTCAGGAGATCGAGACCATCCTGGCTAACACGGTGAAATTCCATCTTTACTAAAAATACAAAGAATTAGCCAGCCGTGGTGGCAGGTGCCTGTGGTCCCAACTACTCGGGAGGCTGAGGCAGGAGAATGGCGTGAACCCGGGAGGCGGAGCTTGCAGTGAACCGGGATCGTGCCACTGCACTCCAGCCTGGGCAACAGAGCGAGACTCCGTCTCAAAAAAAGAAAAAAAAAAGAAAAAGAAAGACAAGCTTATGCTCGGAGGATGGAGAAAAGCAAGTTTTACAGTTCCTGACCTATGAGGGTTTACTGTACAACCTGAATGCCAAGTTAACGTGCCATATATCCGGGGGATGCCAACAATAACAGAACATTCTCCTCACTGTCGTGTGTGTGTGTGTGTGTGTGTGTGTGTGTGTGTGTGTGTGTGTTACCGTTAAGTTAACCACAAAACAAAAAATTACCGTTAAGCCATCCACAAAACAAAAAATGGTATTTTCTGTGACTCCATTTCTAGGAATGGATATGGACACTGTTGTTGGGTAGAGAGGCTATCAGGCCCTGTGCTGGCATGGAGCAGGGTCTCACAAGAGCTACACTATATCACCAAGTAGCAATAGATGTAGGTCATTTCAGATAACAAACAAGGAAGTCTAAGTTGGGTTTTTTGGGGATTTTTCCCTAAATTTCTAAAGGAGTCTCTACAAACTCCATTACTACTGCATCCATTGACAGATCTCCCTATCAGATATAAAGGCAGGGAAATGGTGCCAGAGCATGGCCTAAAAGCAGAAGCTGCCAGCACCCCGCCGGGACAGAAGATGAGCTACAGGCCTGAATATGGGGCTGTCTTAGTCAATTTGTGTTGCTATAAAAGGAATATCTGAGGCTGGGTAGTTTATAAAGAAAAGGAGTTCATTTGGCTCATGGTTCTACAGGCTGTATAGGAAGCATGGTGATAACATCTGCTTCTGACAAGGGCCTCAGGAAGCTTCTACTCATGGGGGATGGTGAAGGGGAGCCGCATATACAGATCACAAGTTGGGAGAGGTGGCAGAGAGTGTGGAGGAGGTGCCAGGCTCTTTTCAACAATCAGTTCTCACAGGAACTAACAGCAAGAACTCACTCTTGCAAGAATGGCACCAAGCCATTTATGAGGGATCCACCCCCTGACTTGAACACCTCCCACCAGGCCCCACCTCCAACACTGGGGAGTAAATTTCAACATGAGACTTGGAGGGGACAAACAAACCATATCCAAACCATAGCAGGGGCACAGGTCTCCAGATCTGGGATTAAAACTCTCCTTTGGAGGATTTCACTTAGCCCCTTCCATTTTTTTTTCCAAATACTTAACCACATCCTAGTGTTCGTGACTCAACCAATGCTCCATGCTCATGGAAAGCTGCTAAAATGGGAGCCTGTACAAACAGGAGTTGTCCTGTTCATTCTCACAGCACCGTCCATTCAATCTCTGGAGTACCCAACCTGGCAGAGAAACCTCCCTCCTCATACAACCACAGAATAAGAATCAAAATGGAATATTTCCAACTCCTATCTCATCTTCCTCATACCTTTTCTAGTCCAAGCTGAATTCCCATCTCCATTTTCATAGATGGTGGATTCTCATTCTTCCCCCTCACCTTCTTCAAGTATGTTTTGTGAAATAACATGGAATAGGTTAGGATCTTGTTAATGGTGCAGTGCTGGTAGAAGAGGCCAATTCCTTCATAAAAGGTAAGGACAAAAGAAAGCCAAAATCAAAAAGTCTAGGAATTAGAATTCTAGGCCTATGTGGTCTGATATGGTAGCCACTAGCCACATGTGGCTACTGAGCACTTGAGATGTGCCACATGCAACTGAAGGGCTGGATTATTTCATTTAATTTTAATTAATATAAACAAATTTAAAAACTGATCATTTGATTTTATTGTTGGAAAGCTAAGTATGTATATAACAACGTAGGCTTGTAAATCTATTTCCTCAACCAAAACGTTATGAAATCTAAATACACACTGAATATTTCCAATGAAAATGTAGTGTTTGCATGTAGATGTGCAATACACATAAAATATAACCAGAGTTGGAAGACTTAGTAGGAAAAAATGTAAAATATCTTATCGTTGATTTTTCATATTGACACACGCTGAAATGATATTTTAGATATACTGTGTTAAATAAAATATATCATTACAATTACTTTCACCTGTTTCTTTATATTGATTTTTTTTTTTAAACGTGGCTCACGGAAAATTTTTAATTACATATTATATTTCCATTGGTTCTCCACTGTAAACGTTTAATGTTACTGGGGATACTGCTGGAGAGGGACTACCCTAGCCCAGAGCTTCATTCATCACTCACCCTCTCCTACTGCTAGAAAGTCACTCCAGGCCGTTTTCCAACCCTCTCTTTCCTCATTGCTGTTTTAATGTTATTAACTTTGGTGAATACTGACCTCCCCTCACCCTTACCCTCTTCCAGCATTCTCCCCTCCTCGGGCCTACTCCACTCTTCTCTCTTCCATCCGGCTTTTGAAAATCCATCTTCTACTACGAATAAGCTTCCTCTTCGCTCCCCATTCCCCAGGCTCTTTCCTTCACACCACCTTCTCTGAGTCTTTCTAACCATCCCTGTCTGTTTAAACTGCTCCGTTAGAGGCCAAGTTTTGTTTCCTGCGCCCTTTCTCAGTGTCCCTGTACCTCCGGTTGGATTTCTAGGAAACAGACTCTGCACAGAGATGGAGATGGTATGTGGGAGGTCTCCTGGGACGTGCTCTTGGGAACAACACCTTGAGAGAGTGAGGGAAACAGGATTCGGCAGAGAATGAACTTTAACTGTGCTGCTTTCCACAGAGGCCTCGGCGGATCCCTTGGGAAGCTATGGAGCTGGGGTGGCCCTTCAGGGCCCTCCGTAATGGAAGCAAAGAGGTGAACCTTTGTATCTCCCCATCAACCAATTGGATCCGAGATACAGATGCCCCGCCCCAAGGAGTGGCAACCTGGTTTATATAAGCCACCACTCAAATAGTTATCTTGAACTAGCCCAGAGATCTCCTTCTTTCTAAATCTAAACCTATTTTCTTGGGCGCCCTCCTCCGTGGTGTCCCTGCAGCCCGGGCCCCGGCCCCCATTGAACCTCCCTCTTCTCCTGAGTCCTGACACCCCGCACAGTCCTGACCTTCCCTTATGGTTTCTCCTGATAGTTTCCGTTCCTTTCATGGGCTCCTTCTCGGTAGACCTAGATTCTGTCTTCAGCCCTGTTCTCTGTACCTTTTCTACCCTCTCCCTCCACCTCTTGTGTCGGCCCAACTTCTTTCCAGATGATTCCAAAATTGACATCCCTTGCCTCAGTCTCTCCTATGAACTCCAGAATCACCCTTCCAATTGCATTTGCTGGATATCTGCCCCTGGAAGAAGGTGGCCTGCTTCTCCAATCCAACTTGCTCCACACTAAACTCAGTCACATCACTCCAGGTTCTCCTCCAGACTTCCACAATGTTACAGCCCCAGTGTGCTCCTCCTACACCACACAGTCTGTAGACTCTCCTTTGCTGCAGCTTCCGCATTCATCCCCCAGTTAAGGTCCTCATCTCACGGGACTATTGGAATCATCTCCTTCCTGTGTGGCCCCCCGCGAAGCCCTTCTCAGCAGCCAGCTGGGGTATTTAGAACGTTGGTGCTCCCGGTACAGTGGCTTTGTCAGCGTCCCCTGCCTCCAGTGGCTTCCCTGATCTAGCAACCTGGTAAATGGGTAATCTTCCTCACTGCAGCTAAGTTTCAAAAGAACACGGTTGGATAAGCACAAGGCCCTTGTTACTTTGGGAAATAGATAATCCATGCCCCACTGTTAGGGCCAGTCCCGTTAGGGCCAGCTTTGCACCTTCACAGGGACTCAGCAGGAACAGATGGGCTCTACTCTCTGTTATTCCTTTTTGCTTCAGATTAGAGAGACCTTGATTCTCCCCGGGGCCCAGGAAATGTAAAGCTGATGCTCCACAGGACTCTAAGAGGGACACGGCAGTGATGGGGGCTGGTGAGGAAGGGGGATGGAGAACCTCTCTCTTATCAGACAGGCTTGTCCCTAGGGTCCCTGGAAACCCCCAAAGGCCAACCTCTCCCAGGGGCCGACAAACGTAAAGGGCAGGGAGACCTAAGCGGGGAGCTGCGGAGCGCGGGGAGTTTGAAAGCCGCTCCACCGCCCTACTAGTCCGTCCTTTTGCCCCGCCCCCCTTAGGGATCCCCCCGGCAACCGCACAGCTGCCTCGGACTCTGACTTAATTCCCTCCGCGTGCTCTGAATCGCAGAGAGGCAAACCCCCAAACAAAGAGCCGGCAGCTCGCGTGCGGGGCTCCCGGGCGCGTCCTGCCGGCTGGGCTGGGAGAGCCGGCGCCGGGGCGTCGCGGCCGAGCGCTGGGCAGGCGGGGACTAGAGGGCCGGCAGGAAGCCTCAGTGGGCGCAGGGGCGCGGGCCGGGCTGCCCACACGCTGACCTTCCCGGGCTGGGAGGGAGGAGCGCTGGCTGCGGGCGGTGGGCGGCTGGGCGGCCCCGGGAGCCGCCGCTCTCAGTCTCTCTAGGCGCAGCTCCCTTCGCCGCTTCCGGAGCCCCTGGCAGGGTAAGTGCAGAAGCGCGCCCGAGGAGTGGGGGCGCCGCGGGAGGGGGCTGGGGGTCCAGGAGAGGCGCCTCCACCTCCGCTGCCCGCCCCGCCGGCAGTCCCGAGCTAGACTGTCCCGAGCTTCCCCCGGGCGGGCAGAGGGAAGCCGGCTGGGGATGAGGAGTGGAGGAGGCAGGAATGCCTGGGACACTCGCGGGGCATGTGAGCAGGTATTGGTGTCTGCATGGGACACGCAACACGGTGTCCATAACTATGCGCATGAGTCTGCCTTTCTGCACTTGTGCCTTGGGAGAGAGCTCTGGGCCTCTGAGGGCCTCGTGCCGTCCAGCGTGCCCGGGGCATGTCTGTTCCTCTTGAAAATGTCATTCTTTGTCCACCCTGAATTCGAGTAGCTGCCTCTCATGGCTACACCAAAATGCTGTATCTGGTGCACATTGCTTTCAGAGGGCCTGTCTGCCTGTGCAGGGATGTCCTCATGTTCTGGGCACGTCTGTGTATTTGTGACAACATGGCTGTGTAGGCCCTGTCACCTGTGTTTTCGTGCCCATCCCTGCATGTGCAGTTGGCCGGCTCCGTGTGGAAAGAAGGCATGGAAGGTTCTGGGGTGTATCCTTTTCACCAGCCATATGTGCAGTGTGCACATGTGTGAATTGGTGGAAAGTATGAAAGGGAGGCAGCCCAGTTGGGCTTGGCGGGACAGCATCTTAACTTGAGTCTAAGCTGCTGTGTGCAGGAGGAATAAGTGTTCCAGAGGTCTCCAGTTCGTGGCAAGTATTGTGAGGTGAGCGTGGGGGTGGGGGGTGAGGAGAAGAGGCAGCTTCTGGAAAAACTCATAAGTGCACTCTGGGGCATAGGGTGTGTGTGGGGGAGCGTGAAGAAGAGAATGAGGGTGGTATTAGGCCAAAGTGGATAGTCTGTGTTCAATTTGTGGGCAGCTGGATTGCAGTGGAAAGCAGCAGTTAGAGGCTGGAGACAGGTTTGAATCAGAACTTAATGGTTGTCACTGTGTCAGTAGCATTGTTCCCTGGACAGATAGGTCATCTGGGGCTCAGTTGCTTTTTGTGCAAAATGGGACTAATAACCACTGGCCCCATCTGTCTCCCAAGGGACTGGAGGCTCCAATTAATGCCTGGAAATGCTTTGATGATAGTTAAGACTCCTAGGGTAAGGGGCACTACTGGCCTACAGGGGCCAAGTTGGTGGTCTGGCGAGGGCTTAGGTGGCCCAGAGCTGTTTGGTTTGTGGGTAGCAGAGGGAGGCATTTGTGTGCTGTTTCCCACTATATTCAGCATAGCAGGAATTTTATACCCACCTTTGGACTCGTGTGTAAAATATGTACAGGCCTGTGTGATTCCCCATAGTTCTTGTGTGAGTGCTGCAGAACAAGAGGAAAACTGGCGTTGATGTCTTTAAGTCTGCCTAGAGCACCTTGACTTTCCAGAGAGCCTTTCTTCAGATGAGCCCAGGACATTTATAACCACCAACTTGCTTTTCTTTTTATGCCGCCAAATGAAGCAGTAAGGAGCACCCTTCACAGTTTGTAGCCAGGGAGATAGGAGATGAAGAAGCTTTCCCAGCCAAGGTCACAGGCCTGGGGTGTCCACCACCAAGTTCTATCTCTTGGGTTACAGTGCCTTCAGACCCAGGGCCAACGCTGGACTGGGCTGAAGAAGGAGGGAGGCATCAAAAGTCATGCACAGACGGCACCGAATTCCAGGATGTAGTTGGGTGGTTTGTCCACCCTCGGATGTCACCTGTCACTGAGACTTCTTTGTATGTGATAGCTGTTTAGTAGTGTTTGTAAAAGGAAAGATCCTTGGATGGGAGATGCCGGCAACCCAGGTCAGGTCCCGGCTCAGCTCCCTGCCTGGGGAAGGTCACATCACCTCTCTGGGTCTGCTTCTTCTTTGGTCCAAATCAGGGCATCTTTCCAGATTATCATTCTGTTTTCAACTGTGTTTTGCTTCCTCAGAGAGGCCTTTCCTGATCCCCCATCTAAAGTAGCCACCTCCCAGCCATGATCACATCATTGTTCCTTCCTAGCACTTGCGACCTGTCTGAACTTAGCTTTGCCACATCCTACTACAATGTGAGCTCACCAAAAGCGGGACTGCCTTTGTGCCGTTGCCTGCTGGCTCCACCTGCAACACAGTAGGTGCTCAAGAGATATTATTGTTTGTGAATGAGTGAGTGAGTGAATAAATTAGTAAGGGGATGTGCATATGTGTTTTTCAAATTGTCCTCCCAGGAGCTCTGGAAGGGAAGAGCAGGCTCCACTGGCAGGGCGCCAGGTCCCTCACACCAGCAGCTCGGGGTCAATCTAAGTTACATGTCAGCTTTCAGATAGGATCTCCTTTGAAGAAAAGCCTCTCTCACTAAAATAAAACTAGAAAACCGTTGCACCAGAAGACTTAGAGGGGTCTTTTCAACTCCAAGTAGAAATAATAGTACCGCAACTGGAAGAAATCCGCACTTGACCCTCAACGAGGATTATAGGCAGGATTCAGACATACAAAGTGGTTATTCCACAAACCATTTCTGCTTGGCCATGGAATTCATCCTATGGCTATTTTTATGCTACTGGTTTAATTTCTTGAATTTTGGTCAGAGTTAATATGGAAATGATTTTGCTTACAACACAGCAACAAGGGCTATGTGAGAACTCGAACCCATCTATATCTGAGACAGGCACCAGACGGAGGACACGAAACATCTGCAAGGTGGACAAGCTGTGCGCAGATATTTGAGAGCTACCTATCTAGGGTGACTCTGTCTGTTATCGTCCTCTATTGGGGGTGTTCCCAGGCATACTTGCCCAGATGTGCCTCACCCCCAGTAGATGTCCACTCAGCAATGTTTTTCTTGAGTAGTTGGCAGTGCTGAGGAACTCTGGTCTCTGAGTGATTACTGAGCGTAGACGACAGCCACGTGATGAAACCTGGCTATATTTACATGTGATGACCCTGATCTGTATTTACAGCAGCCATGTTTCCTGGGGTTTCCAAGCTCTCCTCCACGTAAAATAGTCTCTTGTGCTGCCTTTTCCTAGAAATATACTTGGAAGTGGCAGCACAGCTGCTGTGTCCAACACCATGTCCAGGTTTGGGGCTCAGAATCTAGATTTACCACCCTTTTCTAAGCCCCATAGGGGGAGCATTAATGACCGTGCCCATGATAGAGGAGGTGGTGGTGTTCTGTTTGGTTGGTTTAGGTGGGTTGTTGAGGACGGAGACTGTGGAGAGAAGGGTCGGGAGTAGAGAACTGGACCCTCTGTTCATTCCATTGATACTGCCCTTGCTTCGTGTAGATGCCCTGCTCTTGCTGACTCTGGTGGGTTTCTGGGCTCATAGGTTTATACTCACAAGATGGCACTCCACAGGGTAGAGGGAGTTGGGAAGGGGGCAGCAAATATACACTGTACATGTATGTTTTCCAAGTGCCTGCTGTGAGCTTTGAACCTCCAGGCTATGAGACATGCATTAAGGACCCAGCCCCCGACCTCTGAGCACTCATTGTTGAGGACATTAAACTCATTCCCAGGAAGGGATGAGAAAACAGCTGAGTGCAGACTAAGTGGCACTCACCCAAGCCCCAGCTGGAGCTGCGAGAAGGAAAGGTGTGCAGAGAGGGCAGGCAGAGGCAGCCAGCAGCAAGGGTGGCCGGAGAGCCCAGCTCTAGGGCCAGATGGTTCAGGCACAGATCCTGGCTCTGCCCCTTCCTCTCCGTGTGACCTTCCGTGTGTTATGTGACCTTGCTAAGCTTCAATTTCCTCATCTGTAAATCGAGGAAATGACCTCAACTCGTAGCAGGGTGCATGGATGCCTGCCTAAGCTGAACTCAGAAGAGGGGTACGGAGCGCCCAGGTATCTGATGACCACAGTGAAGGAATTTGAAAAAGGTCTTATGGCAAGGAGGGGGCTTGAAGAGTGGTGACTACTGTGGGACCTTGTCTAATGCTGGTCTCCCCTGTAGTAGTCAGGGGGTCTGTGGCGTCGGGCTGGGTAGGCCCCAGGCCAGTCAAGCACTCCCTTTCTCCCTGGGATGCTTTTCCAACTGGCCATGCGACTTCCACTCACAACTATGGAGGGGGAAGTGGCTGCATCCTGGCAGCCTCACCCTCCCTCTCTCACTGCCCTGCACACATACAAGCACATGGCCCTGCTTAGAGGCTTAAGGATTTTTGCTGTAAAATACCAAGAATTGAGGATGTTACAGAGGTTCAGGAAATGAGAATTGCTCTGGTGGTCCCCTGGTCTGTGTTGAAAGGGAGTAGGGGACCCTCCTTGATGGTAGTGTGGGATAAACCCCCCAGTGGTTCTCAGCCCTATCCTGGCTTAGGCATTCATTTTTTTTTTAATATGTACTTCGTGTTTTGAAAGGGTTTTGTCAGCCAAACTTCAATATAAATGAGAATGTGTTTCTCTATCTTAAAAAGATTAATAATCAAAGACCCTATAACTGATAGTTTGATTCCTTTCTGCTTGATACATATCAGTTGAGGTCACTTGCTAGCAGATTCTAGTGTGTTTAAAAAGCTCAGAAGAAAAAAGGACAAAGGACAGAAGCAGACTGGTGTTGTCTGGTTTGTCTGAGGTCTGGCACAGTTAGCAAACATTTAATCACATAGCTGGTGTGGTAGCTTGACTGAAGCCTTTTGGTCAGGTAGAAATTCAGGTTTCTATGAGCGTTCTTGAAATGCGGTAGAGATTTCTCTCCCAGAGCTGCCTTTTATAGATAAGCACTAGGGTTTTGATAGTTGGAAACCACGGTCCTATACTGTGCTTTTAGAATTAGAGTACCTGGCTGGGCGCGGTGGCTCATGCCTGTAATCCCAGCACTTTGGGAGGTCGAGGCAGGCAGATCACCTGAGGTCAGGAGTTCAAGACCAGCCTGGCCAACATGGTGAAACCCCGTCTCTATTAAAAATACAAAAATTAGCTGCGTGTGGTGGTAGGTGCCTGTAATCCCAGCTACTCGGGAAGCTGAGGCAGAAAAATCGTTTGAATCTGGGAGATGGAGGTTGCAGTGAGCCGAGATCGCACCACTGCACTCCAGCCTGGGCGACAGAGTGAGACGCTGTATCAAAAAAAAAAAAAAAAAAAAGAGTCCTCATCCTATCCTACTTGAGAATACAATTGTTTATTGACTTTTTATCCCTAGCAACGAGTGCAAAGCTTGGCAAACAGTAGGAATTCAATAAATGTTCATTGAATGGACATTTCAGGAAGGAGCTCATGAGTCATCACCGAGACTGTGCCTCAGGGAGACTCAACCAGAGCCAGATAGGTAATTTGTGGGACCCAGTGCAAAATGAAAACATGGAACCCTAGCTCAAAATGCAGGAAAAGATACCATTAAAGTTATCTTTATACCTTTATAAATATAAGCCCTTTCCTTTTTTCCATGGTCTTTCTCTCAACTTGTCATGTGGTATTTTTATTTACTATTTAATGATATTCTAAGTAAAGAAAAATTAAAATTTTAAATTATTAGTATGAATTTTACTGTTCATCCTTATATTGTGCAATGCCAGTTTAAAAGACTCTGAGCATTTAACGTGTGTAGAATCACCAAACTACACAATTCCGATTTCATAGTGCATATATGCACGTGTATTTTGTTCTTACCAGAGCAGTGTCATTGCTGCTCTCAACTACTCATCAATGCACTCAACGTCGCTAACTCAACTGTTTTTATTCCTCTAGTAGCATCCCTGGGGCTCACTAGGTCTCTGCGACTGTGCTGGGCATATGGTCCTTCTCTCGAGAGTTGATAATTCAGGACTTGTCTGTGCCTACCCAAAAAAGAAGGAAGGGTTGGACATCAGTGATTCATACCCTGTTTGTGTGAGGGAGTCACAAACTCCTTTGGAGATCTACTAAAACCTATGGAACCGCAGCACATAGATGGTAAAAATGCTTTATACAATTTCAGGGGCCCCCAAGTTACAACTCCATGGAAGGAACTGTCTTTTAGGCTTACTGCTACGCCATGGTATCCTGTTTCGGAGACAAGATAGGGACTATTTTGAAAGCAAATGAGAAATTGTTCAAATCCTCCTATCTGGGAAAGGAGATGAGATTTTAAGTCATTTGGCTTTTTAAATTCAATTCCTGATGCCTGGAAGGGAATGACGCTGCCTTTCTGATTCCCAGTGGGCAGGTTGTAAATGTCCTTAAGCATGAAATGACGTGGTCCACAATGAAGGCTTTTGTGGGAGAGCCCCTCTTTCCACCCCATAGGCTAGACTCTCCTCCAGCCTGACTGACCCCTGCCAGAGCCGCAGGATGACAAACTGCCACCATCCCCTTGCTGGGCTGCAGCTGCTGCTCTAGTGGGGAGAGGCAGCTGCACATCCAACCAACACTGACTGAATTCAGGCACAGGCTGGGGCATCACAGTCACTCTCTGGGTGATCCTTGTCCTCTAATTTAACTGGGCAGAGGAGGACACTGGCTCAGGTAGGTTAGGTGACCTGCACAAGGTCCCCCAGCCAGTAAGAGTGACATTAATCTTCCCTCCATGTATGTGACAGCCAACCCCCAAACCAGGACACTGGCTCAGATAGGTTAGGTGACCTGCCCAAGGTCCTGCAGCCAGTAAGACATTAATCTTCCCTCCATGTATGTGACAGCCCAACCCCTAAACCAAACATCAGAGAACCAGGCTCACATTTATGTTCCCCCTTCCAGCTCCTTCCTCTCAGCACTGGGGATGGGGAAGGGGAGGAAAGCCACCCCCTACCTCTGCCCAGGATGGTGCAGGAGCCGCTCCACTGAAGACCTCTCCCTGAAGCTCATGGGTGTCCTCTGCAGCATCCAACCAGAGTCATTGCCCATCCAGCTCTCAGAAATTGTCAGGTCAAGCAAACAGTGGTTGCAGCTCTAGTGGCTGCAGCTCTAGTGGCTGCAGCTGTGGACCTAGGAGGGGCTGCTCTGGGGACCCTGTCCAGTGGAAGGGACAGCAGTGTTGTTGAGGCCCCTATGTCTTAGACTCTGGGTCTCCTGTGTCAAGCCTGATGGTGAGCTCTTGGTTCAGATTGAGTTGGGATCATTGTTGATTTGAGGCCTAGAATGCTTCCCATGTCCTCTAGACAGCCATGAGGAGCCATGTTCTATACCCCTTCCCTTCACACCTACACACAGCAGTGAACACACACCGGGGCCCCCATAAGTAGAGATGCCTATGGGCCTCTAGCTCCAGTCTCAGTCCTAAATCCAAACCTGGGAGTCCCCAGAACCTGGAGGTGTCATCCACTTTGGCCCGGCTCTCTGGGGGACTGTGGATGCTGGCTTTCAGAGTCATGATTACCCAACTCTCTAGCCTTCTCAAATTTCTGCAAGGCACTAACCCCCAGCTGTTGGGTGGGCCAGGCCCAGGTGGACAGGGGTGACCGGGAAGACCCACTTCAGATGTTTCTGTCTTGGCCCCATGCCTGAGGGGCAGAGCACAGCCAACCAGAGAGGACTCCTGCTCTGCACCTGCTGGAATTGGCAGCCATGTCTGCCTTGTTGTGGTCACATGGACTCAGATCCCAGGGCCTGGATACAGGCTCCAAAAAGTCCATCCAGGCTCAGCTTCTCTGGCGTCTTAGTCCATTCTCACGCTGCTGATAAAGACATACCTGAGACTGGGAAGGAAAAGAGGTTTAATTGGACTTACAGTTCCACATGGCTGGGGAGGCTTAACACACCCCTTCAACAAAAGAGGTCCTGCTCTATCTGCCTTATATACTGAGGTTTTACATCAAGTTTGTCAAACCTCTGGCCTGCATGTGGTCCAGGACAGCTTTGAATGCGGCCCAACACAAATTCGGAAACTTAAAATATTATGAGATTTTTTTTTTTTTTTGCAATTTTTTTCTTTTAGCTCGTTAGCTGTCATTAGTGTTAGGGTATTTTATGTGTGGCCCAAGACAATTCTTCTTCCAATGAGGCCCAGGGAAGCCAAAACATTAGACACCCCTGCTCTACATAAAAATTTATTTGAAAGAATCTGCTATTACAATAACTTTCTCAGTATACAGATAAAGACACTGAGTCACAGAGAGGGTCAGTGACTTTCCTGAGATGCTGGCAAGTAGAGAGGGACCTCCTGAATCTAAGAACTCTGCCCCCTGAAACCTAGGCCTCTGCCTGTCCCCACCCCCATCTGTGTGCCATTGCCTTTATAAACACAACACAGCTGTCAGCAGATGTCCCTTGCATCACTTTGGCAATTCCCCTTTCTTTGGTCATCATGGGAAGCAAGGACTTCCTCAGCCCCTGCCCCTCTCCTGTGATCCAAGAACACACACTCTCCCCAGCCAAATTCCCCTTGTGCCAAGCACCGGTCTTCCCTGCGGAGAGGTGAGCAAACAGCTCCCACCCAGACAGGGCCTCATGCAAGATGTCTCCATGGGGTGAAGAAAGAGTGGCTCTTCTCCACAGAAATCATACATCCATTCAGTCAAGAAGACTGGGGAAATTATCACAGAAATCATTCTCTGAGTGTGGGAAAAAGTGTAGACTGTACCCTTCACTATAATTAAGCTGGGCTTCAAGGGAGCAGTGAGTATGTTAGCCAATGCTTTGTGGGTTTTTTTTTTTTTTTTTTTTTTTTTTGGAGATGGAGTTTCACTCTTGTCGCCCAGGCTGGAGTGCAATGGCGTGACCTCAGCTTACTGCATCCTCCACCTACTTGGTTCGAGCAATTCTCCTGCCTCAGCCTCCTGAGTAGCTGGGATTACAGGCACCCACCAACATGCCCGGCTAGTTTTTGTATTTTTAGTAGAGACGGGGTTTCACCATGTTGGCCAGGCTGGTCTTGAAGTCCTGACCTCAGGTGATCCACCCACCTCGGCCTCCTAAAGTGCTATTATATAGCGTTGTTCTTTTGGAAAAGTATTTTTGTGACCCATTGTGTGAAAATTAAAACCCTGTGCTCTTAGTGCTGAGAGGCAGTGATTTTCCTGCATGGGCTTAGGGTCACCGGCAGCCTCCTCCGCTCCCCTAGCTGGGTCCATTGGTGCAGTTAGGCAGCCTGGGTCAGCTGCCATGGACTGACCATAGGCCAGGCTGGACAGCCCTTGACTGTCCTAGGTGACATGGTCTCTGCCATGGTCTTGCAGAATCACAGGAAATCGATTAACACATGCCCAATTATCCCTGCAGAGAACCAGGCTCCTGAGTGTATTTTTAGAACTCATCTAAATGGATGCTTATTCCCTAATGCCAGCTCTGGTTTATAACCTGCTGAACCATTTGGGTTTCTTTAATTTAACCTCATAAGTGGTGGGTGACTCTAAGTCTCATTCCCTGGATCAGAAAATCCAGTGGTTCCCTATTGCTTACAAAATAAAATCCTGAAATCTTGAGCCTGGCACATACCTTCTCTGTCACCTTCTTTGCTTAATTCCTGCTCTTCCTTCAAAACCCTTGCCCACAGCTCCCTCTTCAGTACTCCTTCACACATTTTTCTTCCTGAGCTGCATACGTTGTGCTACAGTGATATTAATGTGTCTGTCTTCCCAGCTGTGAGCTCTTTGAGGTCAGGGACAGCTTCATTCATTCTCTTTTCTTCATTCTTTTTCTTTGGGAATCTCTAGCACCTAGCACATTGTGTGCCACGTAGTGAGGCCTCAGATGTTCAATGAATTAATAATTAACTGGTTAATTTTAAGGGAGAAAACAGATACATGAACCACCAAACACACCCCTACAATGATAAATGAGGAGGGCAGCCTCAGGCAGGGCAGCAGCAGGGAGAAGAGTGGAATGGTGGGTTCGCAAGATGTTCATTGAGGAGAGCTGCAGAAGGGGATGGCTTAGTGTTGGGGTGGGAAAGTGATAAAGCTGAGAAAAAGGAGTGAGCACTGCATAGGTGGATGGAGCGTCACTTACTGAGATTAGAAATACAAGATGGATGGGTTGCAGTGGGAAGATACTGACTTAGTTTTGGGCGTGCTGGATATTAGGGAGCCTGTGGTCATGGGCATGAGCCTGGAGCCCAGCAGGCTTTGAGAGTCATCAGCTTGTTGGAGGTGGATGGAGTTGGGCATAAATGGGGGTAGCAAAGAGGAGACAAGAGGCAAAGCACAGAATGTTCCCCACCTCACCCTGGAAGGAATGCCATCCTTAAAGGTGTAAACCAGGAAGAGGACGAGTCGATGAGGCCAAGGAAGAAAGGACAGTTTTGGAGATTTGGTCATGATGTTCAGATCAAGGCAAATTGGAAACTTGGAGAAGAATACAATGAGAGTGGTAACATGAAACCAGCAGTGGGGAGAGAAGGCTTCAAAAGAAGATGTGACCAACTTTTCAAATTCAGCAGAGATGAAGCAGGAGGAGATAGGAAAAGCCACCTTTGGCTCTGGCAATTGGAAGTGACTTTGGGTTAAGTGGGCGGTGGAGGAGGTCAGACAGTGGTGGGGTGCAGGATGAATGGATGAAGAAGTGAAGCTTCAGAGGAAGAAAGATCTGGCAATAACTTAAGAGGGAAACAGGATCTAGGAAAATGTGACTTGAGAAACAGTATGCATGGTCATTAGGTTGAACTGTTGCATCTTAACAGCTGAGATTGTATCCTGGCTCACTATACTAGTCTTACACAGGACTAATTTGTTGCTTCTAGAAGTGGAGCTAAAGCGTACTTTTGGGGGGGCGGCAGGGGGCAGTGGGGCAGGGACATTTGTACAAAGACTCTGACCCCCAGGGATAGGAGTTAGTTAAAACAAAGGCTGAACTGCTGTGTCAGAAACCCAACAGGACTGTGGCTTAAAGAACAAAGAAGCTTCTTTTTCTTTCATGTAACAGTTCAGGCTAGGCAAGCTGTTCTGCTCCACACAGTCATACAGGGAGCCAGGTTCCTGCCCTTTTTGTCTACCATCCCCAAGGGCAGTGCGTGGTCTCAAAGTGTGGTCCCCAGACCAACAGCATCAGCCTCACCTGGAAACGTGTTAGAAATGCAGAGTCTCAGGCATGACCCCAGACTTACTCAGAATCTCTAATAGGGGAGCACTGTAGTTTTGAAAGCCCTCCAGGTGATTCTAATGTACCCTTGATTTTGAGAACCACCGCTCTGAGGTGCTGTCCTTGTCTGCATGGTTGAAGCTGATTTCAGACACATCCATGGCAAGGGAAAGACTGGAAAGGGAAAGATTGTGGCAATGTGCATGAGCAGTATTTTAAGGTCCAGGGGTGGAGTACTACTTCCACTCATCCATTGTCAAGAATACTATATGGCCAGAGCTAGCTGCTAGAAGGGTTGGGGAATGCAGTCACTTGTTAGGTGGCCACATACCCAGCTATGACTCCATTTTAATGGAAGAAGGGGAGAAAATCTTCTGGGAGACCATTAGTAGTCTTGGCTCCCTTAGGAATCAAACTGAAGGAAGTTTAATGCCACATCCCATCCTCTAGAAGGAAGAAAAGATATCTACCTACAGATCACTAAGGCTTGTCTGTTTAAAGAGATCAATGGGGGTCTTTTATTGGATGAACCAGCCCCCCAAATGTCTGTCCACCCTCAATGGACATGAGCAGCCCAGCCCTTGGACACCTGCCTCAACTGCTCACCCACTATATACTGTGCTGCCAAGTCCCTGGTTGGTAACTTCCAATAAACATCAGGATTTCCCCAGCTGACCCCATCAGAAGGAAGGCACCCAGGCTGGGCAGGGAAGGATGGGTAGTTAGAAGGGGTGCTGGTTTACTAGAAATGAGAGCTAGAAGATAAGCTGCTTGTCCAATGAGCAGCTGGGCACTTGCAGGGCAGCTGTGCACACCTGCACAGACTGTGCCTTGCACAATTCCAGGGGCAGCCATTCTCATGGGTCTCAACCATGTCCCACCCTCAGGGGAACCCCAGCACCCTGGGGTCTTGGACCTTCTGCTGCTGCTGCTCTTTGCCTTACAGATCCTGAGCTCACCCTGAATGGGTCACCCCTGAAGCTTCCATCCTTGCTCTGAGCAGCTTCTCGGGAAGCATCTCAGTGCTCCAAGGACCAAGCCTAGACAGAGAAATCAATTCTGGATAGGGACAACTTATCTTCCCTCCTCAAAGCCTACTAAAAGCCCAACCCTGAGAGACTTTGACTTTGGCATCAGCAACACCTGGGCTTGATTCCCAGGTCTGCCAAAGGAGCCTCAGCCTCCTTGTTTATAAAACAGAAGCGGGCTGGTTGTGGTGGCTCACTCCTATAATCCCAGCACTTTGGGAGGCTGAGGTGGGTGGATCACTTGACACCAGGAGTTCGAGACCAGCCTGGCCAACATGGTGAACCCTGTCTCTACTAAAAATACAAAAATTAGCCAGGTGTGGTGGGCATGGTGGTGCATGCCTGTAGTCCCAGCTACTCATGAGGCTGAGGCAGAAGAATTGCTTGAACCTGGGAGGTGAAGGTTCTATTGAGCCAAGATTGCATCACTGCACTCCAGCCTGGGCGACAGAGCAAGACTCCATCAAAAAAAAAAAAAAAATCCAGAAGGAGTGGCACCTGCCTCACTGAGTTATTGAGACAAGTAAGAAAACTGGGCCAGTTGAGGGCCCGACCACTGTGCTGAAGCTGCAGGGGGCTGGGTTTTTTACTACTGACCAGAGTCTGGGAGAGGTGCCAGTGGCCAGAGGTGGTTTCTCAAGGCCATAAAACACCTGTCTTCATAACTAGGAAATCACAGTTTCTGAAACAGAGACAGGATGACGCGCCTTCCTCAGATCTGGCATTTGTTTATGTAATGATCTACCTTCAAATTCAACCACATGCACGCACTCCATCTCTAACAGTTCTGCCACTTTTGATTCTGAGTTCTGCAGCAGGAGAAGGGAGCCACTTGTGTTTGCCAACACTGAGATCACACTAGTGGTGGGTTTTAGGGGCTCTGGGCTTTCCCGGGCTCTGCTGTGGGTCTGTTTTTAAGGGCTGGAGCAAAGGCAAGAAAAAGAGGGCGAAGGGTTAGGAGAAGTGAGGAGACTGCATATTCATTTTCAATCCCTGTCAGAGCTGCCCCCTTCTGCTGTGGGTTTCTTCTGAGGTCTCACTCCTCTAAGGAAGGGCCCGATTACAACCTCAGGTGTTTCCCATCAATGGAACTGTCCTGTTCACATTGGTGCCTTGTTTGGATTATTTTCAAAAGGATTTTTTACTTTGATGTACAATGGACATAGGTCTGTATCTCTCATCTGAGGCTGAAATTGGAAAACGAGAGAAAAGAGAAGACATTGTGGAGAGTGCAGAGAAAACTCAGGGAGAAAAAGACGGGAAATCCCTGGGCTGGCTTGTGAAAGACTCCCAAAGGGCCCTGTTGGGAGAACTGGCTGGTGCCTGCACTAAAGCCATCTACACAGAAATGCATCCTGCACGTTCCCACAGGTGCATGCCATAGAAGCAATGGCCTGAGTTTCACTTCTCTCCTTTCCAATACCTTTGACTTAGGTTCCTTGGGGAACCAGGTGAGAGCCTGAGTGGGATGAGAAATATTTATGTGATTCTCAAAGAGTTCATGAGTGTTCACATGGCTCCTTAATGCATTCCTTCCTTCATTCATTCATTCATTCAGCATCCGACACCCATACATCAGGTACTCTGTTGGGTGTTCAGGGCCCAGAACTCAACTCATATTTTATCAGATAATATAGCTAAGGGGCATGCCTCAGACTTCATTAATGGGGATTGTTGACCCTGGGATGTAAGAGCAGGAAGTGGGATGGAGAAATACATAGAGTGTGGAGGGAATCCGACAGGTTTAGAGGCTTGAGGAGTATTGAATATTGTTGACAAGCAGCATAACATGGTGGTAAAGAGCCAACCTGGGATGTTTTTTAAGTGAATAGAAGCACTGCTCATAATTATGTCCACATAATTATGTGCAGGTGTAAACCAGAGTTAACCTCTGTCTCCCTTTCCTCTTCTGTAACATGCGGACAATGCGCATGCCTACCTCATGGGGTTGTGAGGATTAAAAGAGATAATGCTTACAAGGCAGGGGTCCCTGACCCCCAGATCATGCCCCAGTAGGAACCAGCCTCACAGCAAGAGGTGAGTGGCAGGTGAACGAGCATTACCGCCTGAGCTCCGCCACCTGTCAGATAAGTGGTGGCATTAGATTCTCATAGGAGCACGAACCCTATTATGAATTCACATGTGAGAGATCTCAGTTGCACACTCCTTGTGAGAATTTAATGCCTGATGATCAGAGGTGGAACAGTTTCATCCCAAAACCATCCTCCCCCTACCTCCACCATCCGTGGAAAAATTGTCTTCCACGAAACCAGTCCCTGGTGCCAAAAAGGTTGGGGACCGCTGTTACAAGGTACAGTTGATCCTTGAACAGCATGTGTTTAAACTGTGTATGTCCACCTATACGTGCATATTTTTCAACCAAATACAGATCAAAAATACAGTATTTGCAGGATGCAAAACCCATATATACAGAGGGCCGACTTTTCACATGCAAGGGTTCTGCGGGACCGACTGCCAACCTTGCGTATGCATGGATTTTGCTATACTTGGGGATCTTGGAACCAATCCCCCGCATATACTGTGGGACAACTGCTCTTAGTACCATGCCTGATGCATGGTACATGATAAACACTAGCCACGGTTATTCCTAGGCACACAAAATACACAGAGCCTTGGGCGATGCAGAAATGGTCCGAAACTACTGTGCCAGCAGTAAGTCTTGGAATCAGGCCACATTTTTACCCAACCCAGTAAGGAGGGTAGTCACTCCAGTTTTATAGGTGAGAAGAACTGAGGCCCAAAGGCAAGGAGCAAGTTAGAAACAGAACTGGGACTAGAGCCCAGGTCCCTGGGTGTAGGCCTAGCCCCCCTTAAGTTACAATAGTGTTTGGGGGCCTATTGAGAAGGGAAGGAATGTGTAGAGGTGACCCAAGCACCAAGACAGCTGTCACCTTCTGGACTTGATGACCTCACTAGCCCTGCTGGGATGGCAGAGGCCCTGCTGGTGCTGCCTCCTGGAACCCCACCCATGGGGCACCCCAGCTGCAGTCCCGCCTGGGGGCACCTCTTCCAACCCCACCAAGGGTTCTCCTTTTGCTGCGCCTTGCTTCCATCTTGTTGAAAACAGAGATGAAGGGCTTCTCTCACTCTACGGCACTTATCACTGTAGCCATTGCCTTCTTCCCACTTCTTTTAAATGACTTTCCTGTCTGAGCCAGTTTGCTTTGTTAAACTGAGGTCTTGGTTTTCTCCAGGTAGATTTTTCATGGCCACTTGGGAACAGGGCCTTCCCTCACAACCATCGGAATACAGTGCACTAGCAGGCCGGTGGGCTGAGGGGCAGGGGTGCTGAGACTGCATCCCAGCCGTCAGATTCGGGCTCTGGATGATGTATTTTTAGGGTTACCCAATCTTTTCCCATTGTCCTTCATCGGGAAGCTCTTAGAGAGTTGGGTCTAATCATTCCTTTACCCTTGTCTGGCACTGACGCCATAAAATTGAAGTGCATACTGTTCTTACAAATCCTCCATCCCATTTGGTCCTCACAGCCACCATGCAAGGGAGACAAAGCCAGCCCAGCATCATCTCCATCTTACAGAGGAGGAAGGGAGGCTCTGGAGGTCACAGGATTTGTCCAGGGTCAAACTGCTGTAGGTGGCAGCTAGTACTCACACCCAGATCTTCAAACCTGCCAACTACTGGCTATTTTCTGTTTGCTTCATCACTGATTTTTGTCACAAGCACTGAAGTTCTCATTTCATAGGTCAGACTGCAGCTTTTAAAAAAGAAAAAATGATCTAGGAAAAACATAGCATGCATGTGGCATTGGAATATAACCAAAAAAGAAAAAGAAACACAGGTAGCAAACCATCCAGGGACTCTGTGTGTATGTCTGCATCTGGAGAATAAGGACAAGCCAAACCACTTGCCTGATGATAGGAGCAGAGTCCTGACTAAGACATGGAATGCAATTTGTTACTTGCAAATGAAGTTAAAAAAAAAAAAAAAGTCATGTACAAAAGTCATGTACTTAGGAAAACATGTCTCTCAGGGCATAGAGACAAAGAATTCTTAGTGCTAGGGTTTTAATTCGAGTTCTACTGCACCATCCATGTGACTCTGTAGTTAGCAATCTGACCCTAAGTTTGGTCCAAAAGAGTTGCCTGAATTCATTTACCTGCACACAATGAACATGGTGATAGAAAAGGCCAGCAGTTGCTCAGAAACCCCAGCCCAGCCTGTGCCTCACTGTGCCACTGGCAGCCACTGGATCTCTTGGCCTCAGTCAAGGAGACAGAGGACCAGGGAGAAGGTGTGATTCCCTCCAGAGGGTTCTCCAAGCAGTTGGTTTCTTTGCAGTGACGGCCGTCATGGCACTGCTGACTCAGGTTCCCTTAAGGGTCGGAGAACACTGGCCCTGCTGCCTCCCACAGCCCCGACTGGGGTCTCTGCCCAGGGCAGATCCCCTCATTCTTAGCTTCCGCCAGAGACCACCAAGCTAAAAGAAGCTACAAGAAACCCAAACTAGATCTGCACAAGGAAAAGTCAAACGTCTGCTCTGCGTGTCTGGGTCTCACTTACTGGGTCTCAAACATCTGCTCTCATGTGTCTGGGTATCCACTTACTGTTCTGTGCCTCAGTTTTCTCCTCTATAAAAAGGGATGATGATTCCATCATGGGATTATTTTTAGGATTAAATTAATTAATGCACATGCATCACTTGGTTTGCTGCCTAGCATGTAGTTAGCATTTAGTAAATGTTTATGTTTATAATTACTGTATCCGCCAATCAAAATCTTGTTGGTAGCTGTGGAAAGAACACTGGCCTGGGAGACAGGAAACCAGATCCTGCCCTGCTACTAATCTGCAGTGTGACTTTGGCCACAGTGTGACCTCCTGTTCCCCCACCCCAAGCTCCACCAAGCTTGCTTGATTCTCACACAAAGGAGCTGAGCTCGGGATCCTTTTGGCTCCTTCCAGCTGCCCCATTCCAAGAGTCTGAGGAAGTCTCACTTCTATGACTGCTTCAGGAAGATGGACAGTCACAGTGTCCACTCATCGGGAATGGAGCAGGAAAGTGAAAATTAACTAAGAGGGAAACGGGCACAGAAGGACAAGGCTGTTGGCATGGGGTGTGGAAATCCACCATGCAGGGGCTGTAACCAAGTTTCATTAGAGGCCTAAATTAAGTTATAAATTAAACCATTTAGACTGTTTTTTCCTTTCCAGCTGTCTTTGGCCATCAAGCAGGCATGACCTCTTGTTGGCCAAGAACTCAGAGGTAGAAACTGGCACTTATTTAACTGCAGGGGTGGGGAGTGGAGTCTAGCTTACCCCCATAGCAAACACACTAGTTTTGTGGAGAGTTTTCTTTTTTTTTTAAATGACAGATAAAACTGTATGTATTTACCATGTACAACATGATTTTTGAAGCATATATACATTGTGGAATGACTAAGTCTAAATAACAAAGGTAGTACTTCATATAATTATCATTTTGTGGTGAGAGCATGTAACATTCACTCTCTTAGTATTTTTCAGGAATACAATATATTATTAACTATAGTTATCATGTTGTACAATGGATCTCTTGAACTTATTCCTCTTGTCTAAAAATTCTGTACCCTTTGACCATCATCTCCCTAATCCCCCTCACAATCCCCCAGCCCCTAGGAACCACCATTCTATTTCTATGGGATCAACAATTTTAGATTTCACATGTGAGTAAGATCATATGTTATTTGTCTTCCTGTGCCTGGCTTATTTCGCTTAACATAAGCCATTTCTGTGTCTATATCCAAAGGAAGTGAAATCAGTATGTGAAAGAGATATCTGCACTCCCATGTCCATGTCAGCACTGTTCACAATAGCCAAGATATGGAATCAACCTAAGTGTCCATCAACAGATGAATGGATAAAGAGAATGTGTATATATACACAATGGAAGACTGTTTGGTCTTTTAAAAGAAGGAAATCCTGTTGCTTGTGACAATATGGTTGAACCTGGAAGACATTATTTAAAGTGAAATATGCCAGCTTTGTTTTTATTTTAGAAGCACCAAGTTCCCCAGAAGCCCTCCCCTGAGTATGGGGTGCTCCCTGAGTATGGGGTGCTCCCCTCTTAGGGAATAGAGAGTCAGAGTCCCCCAACCTGAGCTTTTGCTAATGGGAGCTTTTGCTAAAAAGCTGATAGGATCCTAAGAGTAGAGGATGTGGAGAAAGGGAGGAAAGTCACAACTAAGTGAGGCCAACCAGACTGTTCCAGGCCCTAACCCGAACCTGACTTCCCAGTGCTTCCTGTTGCACTGGCCCATGCTGCCCAGCCATTCCCCCAGGCCTTTGCTCACACTGCCCCATCTGACTGGGCAGCCCCTCCTCCTTTTCTGCCCTCAGAAACCCTGCCTGTCCTCAAGGACCAGATTAAATGCCCCTTCCTTTTGCCATCCCCCTGCCCCCACCACCCCTGTCTGGCAGAATGAACACCCCTCCCTCTGTGTTCCCATTATCAACACAGGCCAGCATCTTGAAAGCGCTCCCCAGTGTCTGGAAGTTGTTTATATGCCTATGGCCCATCCTCCATGGCTTCTGTCAGCTCCTGAAGGAGTAAGTCCAGTGGTTCTAAGTACCAGGCCTGGCACCTGCTGGGGACTCCATACATGTTTGAGTGTGTAAAGGATGCAGCTGGCCCAGGGCCTGAAAATGCCTTGTATTTATGTCTGATTTATAAAAATCAGCTCCCAAGCACTCCCCAACTCTCTGCCACCCATCACCATTAAAGGACTCAGCTCTGCCCCTCAGCCAACAGTTGTGGTCCCTCTGCTCCTGGTCGCTGGCCCTGGATGGAGCCTTGCCCTGTTCACTAGGACTCCCAGCACATCTGGCCAGCCAGCTGGGCCCTTTCTACATGTCCCTTGTCTTCTCGGTGCTTGAGCCTCATTCACTTAGGGAAGAGGGGATGCAGCCGAAGACACAATGATCCCCAAGTCTCACAGCCCATGACATTACACATCCGGCCCTGAAGAAAGTCGCCAAAATCCATCACCTCACCATCAAGGCATTTGCGGTTGCTTTTCTGAGATGTCGTATGGTGTGGGTCCTGTCTATGACATTAATGGCCCCCAGGGCCTGCTGGCTCCCCCTGAATCCCAGCTTTGTTCTGCAGTCAGAACCTCAGCCTGGAAGAAGGCCCGCTGAGGCCCATTACCAGGATATCTGGGAAATCCTTGACATTTCAACAGGAACTGTGTCCTAAGTGTGAGTTTGCATGAGAGGACAGGGCCAGCCTTGTGCTCCGCCCCGCTCAGTTAGTTTGTTTCAGATGTGAAGGATACTTACACTGCAGGGTCCTGAACTTTCAGAACTGAAAGGGGCCTTGAAGAAAATTGATTCAAAGTGTGGTTCCGAGACAAGCAGCATCTGGGAGCAGTGGCCAGCCATCCTGGTTTAACACTGAACAGCACTACCATATTCCAAGAAATCCCCCTGTCCTGGGCAAATGGGGATCATTAGTCACCCTTCTGAGAGCAAATTCTCCAGTGTCTCACCCTAAACCTAATGAATCAGAAACTTTGGGGGTAGACCCAGCAATTTGTGTTTTAACAAACCCTCCAGATAATTCTGAGACTTGCTCAGGAGAACCACTCTACTGATAGCTGGGAAAACAAACACCCCGAGAAGACAGTAACATGCCTTACCAAGCACAGGCAGCAAAGAGCAGACCCAGAGAAAGGGTCCTGACTGCACTGTGTGGTTCAGCTGCCCCAGCTCAAGCCAACAGGCTCGGAGGGTTACCCAATCAAACTCCATCAGCCTGCTAAGTAAATATGGTACTGAAAAGGACCCAGATCACTTGCTGTGGTTCCTGGGCACCGGGTGCTGCTCTGGGGATCTGGGAAGGTGGGGACAGCCACCTTCAGAGAGGATGGGATTCCTCTGAGCCCTGGAGCATTCAGACAGGCAGAGAGGAGCAGGTGTTTCTGATTCAGATCACAGCGTGAATGAAAGCCCAGAGCAAGGATGCAGCAGGGCCTTTCAGAGGCCAAAGAAAAGACCAGCTTCACGGAGGTGGGGGGTCTGGGGGTACAGTCCCTCTCCTTTGGGGCTGTCCCTGGGGCTGTCCGTGATTCTGTGTCCAGTGTTGATTACCACCCCCAGGTGGGAGTCTCTGCCTTGCCTGCCCCCTACTGTCTGGCTTTTGCCCCTTAGGGACACCTCCTCCCATTGGTTCAAGAAGCCCAATTCCTGTGAACAGAAATAACCTACTTAGGAAGGCCCGTCTGCTTCCCAGAAATCAGAAGACACTCCCCAGAGCTCAGTGAAAACAATTTCAGGGGATTATCCAAAGCCCAGGTCCCTCCGTTCACTGGCAGGGGCAGATAAGCCCACATCAAGTGGCATATGTTTGCTTCTGTCCAGGGTCTACTGCAGCCATTACCATGCCCATCTCATGTGTCACTCTCTAGGCAAAGAAAAATTGTGGGGTACAACAAGGTCCTAGACAGGGGAGTCCATTAGGACAGCCAGGAGGAGGGCTGGAAGTGGTTGCTAGAAATAGTAGCTCCTCCTTCAGCCCTGTCCCCTTTCCCTTGAGGCAGCAGAGCTAAGTGGGTTTTGGAGCCTTTCACAGTGCACCAGGCATGCTCCAGCCTCCCTTCCTTACAACACAAAAGTGCTTCTGTATTAGTCCGTTTTCATGCTGCTGATAATGACATACCTGAGACTGGGAAGAAAAAGAGGTTTAATTGGACTTACAGTTCCACATGGCTGAGGAGGCCTCAGAATCATGGCAGGAGGCAAAAGGCACTTCCTACATGGTGGTGGCAAAAGAAAATGAGAGAGAAGCAAGAACAGAAACCCCGATAAACCCATCAGATCTCATGAGACTTATTCACTGTCACGAGAATAGTATGTGAAAGACTGGTCCCATGATTCAGTTACCTCCCCGGGGGTCCCTCCCACAACATATGGGAATTCTGGGAGATATAATTCAAGTTGACATTTGGGTGAGGACACAGCCAAACCTTATCATTCTGCCCCTAGCCCCTCCAAATCTCATGTCCTCACATTTCGAAACCAATCATGCCTTCCCATCCATCCCCCAAAGTCTTATTTCAGCATTAACCCAAAGGTCCAGAGTCCAAAGTCTCATCTGAGACAAGGCAAGTCCCTTCCGCCTATGAGCCTGTAAAATCAAAAGTGAGCTAGTTACTTCCTAGGTACAATGGTGGTACAGGTATTGGGTAAATACAGCCATTCCAAATGGGAGAAATTGGCCAAAACAAAGGGGTTACAGGGCCCATGCAAGTCCAAAATCCAGCAGGGCAGTCAAATTTCAAAGCTCCAAAATGATCTCCTTTGACTCCAGCTCTCACATCCAGGTCATGTTGATGTAAGAGGTGGGTTCCCATGGTCTTAGGCAGCTCTGCTCCTATGGCTTTGCAGGGTACAGCTGCTTTCACAGGCTGGCATCGAGTGTCTGCAGCTTTTCCAGGCGCATGGTGCAAGCTGTTGGTGGATCTACCATTCTGGGGTCTGGAGGACAGTGGCCCCCTTCTCACAGCTCCACTAGGCAGTGCCCCAGTAGGAACTCTGTGTGGGGGCTCTAACCCCACATTTCCCTTCCACACTGCCCTAGCAGAGGTTCTCCATGAGGGCGCCGCCCCTGCAGCAAACTTTTGCCTGGGCATCCAGGTGTTTCCATGTGTCTTCTGAAATCTAGGCAGAGGTTCCCAAACCTCAGTTCTTGACTTCTGTGCACCCACAGGCCCAACACCACGTGGAAGCTGCCAAGGCTTGGGGCTTCCACCCTCTGAAGCCACAGCCCGAGCTTTATGTTGGCCCCTTTTAGTTACAGCTGGAGCAGCTGGAACACAGGGCACCAAGTCCCTAGGCTGCACACAGCAGAGGGACCCTGGACTCGTCCCACAAAACCACTTTTTCCTTCTTGACTTCTGGGCCTGTGATGGGAGGGGCTGCCATGAAGACCTCTGACATGCCCTGGAGATATTTTCCCCATTGTCTTGGGGATTAACATTTGGCTCCTCATTACTTATGCAAATTTCTGCAGCTGGCTTGGATTTCTCCTCAGAAAATGAAGTTTTCTACTGCATTGTCAGGCTGCGAATTTCCCAAACTCTCATGCTCTGCTTCCCTTATGAAACTGAATGCTTTTAATAGCACCCAAGTCATCTCTTGAATGCTTTGCTGCTTAGAAATTTCTTCCACCAGATACCCTAAATCATCTCTCTCAAGTTCAAGGTTTCACAAATCTCTAGGGCACGGACAAAATGCTGGCAGTCTCTTTGGTAAAACATACAAGAGTCACCTTTGCTCCAGTTCCCAACAAGTTCCTCATCTCCATCTGAGACCACCTCAGCCTGGACCTTATTGTTCATATCACCATCAACATTTTTGTCAAAGCCATTCAACAAATCTCTAGGAAGTTCCAAACTTTCCCACATTTTCCTGTCTTCTGAGCTCTCCAAACTGTTCCAACCTCTGCCTGTTACCCAGTTCCAAAGTTGCTTTCACATTTTCTGGTATCTTTTCAGCAACATCCCACTCTACTGGTACTAATTTACTATATTAGTCCATTTTCACACTGCTGATAAAGATGTACCCGAGACTGGGAGGAAAAAGAGGTTTAATTGGACTTACAGTTCCACATGGCTGGGGAGGCCTCAGAATCATGGTGGGAGGCAAAAGGCACTTCTTACATGGTGGCAGCAAGAGAAAATGAGAAAGATGCAAAAGCCGAAACTCATGATAAACCCATCAGATCTCGTGAGACTTATTCACTATCATGAGAATAGTACGTGAGAATAGTATGTGAAAGACTGGCCCCCATGATTCAATTACCTCCCCCTGGGTCCCTCCCACAGCACATGGGAATTCTGGGAGATACAATTCAAGTTGAGATTTGAGTGGGGACACAGCCAAACCATATCAGCTTCCTTTCCCAGGCCTCCTAGCTGCTTCCCTCCTGGCCTTGTCATTTGAAAATATCCACCTCCAGGTCTCATTTCCTCCCACCTCATGGGGCACCCCTAACCCTCCACCTGTCCTCCACAGATGAAAGTGAGCGCTTGCTAGTCCTCATTTGACTGACACCTCTTGACAGCATGTGGCACTGTGGGCCACCCTGTCTTCCCTGGCTTCCAGGACCCTGCACTCCCCTGGTTCTCCTTCTACCCTCCCCCTCGCACATCATTTTGCTGCCTAGTTGCTTCTTCCTCCAGTGGCTCTCTTTTTAGACAGCAGGGCTCCTCCTTAGAATCTTTCCTCCCCTGCCTCTTACACACACTGCCTGCCTGATGGGACCTCCTCTCTATGCTGTTCAGGCATCTGTCCCCTACTCTCCATTCCCCCCACCCCCTTCTCTTTCTTGGACTTAAGCATCACCATCCTGGGGTTGGCATCACCTTCAGGATGTGAATCCTAGTCCCTGAGCTTGGCATGTAAGGTCGCTCTTGACTTGACCCCCTACATACCCTTCAGCTCTCACTCCCTCCACTCATACTCTGTACCAGTGGCCTCCAAAGTGGAGACAGACAGTACACTGGGGTGCAGAGAGGACTTACTAGAATCTGTATCCCTAATTATTTTTTCCTTTAAACAATGCAGAATTAAACTTTGAATATCTGCAACATAGATTGACAATAGTACGTGAATAATATTTATCAATAAATTAGCGGGGGCAGTTGTACAGTCAGAATTGCTTGGCCACCACTGCACGGCATTGTCTCTGGTCTTGCTGTGTGAGACCTGCTGTGCCTCAGCATGGGATGCTCTCACACCCCTTAGTACCCACTGCTTCCTCTGCTGTACCAGGGTGATGTTAGCTGTGAGCAATAGCATATTCAAACATGTAGCTGAAAGAAACTACAAGTTTGTCTTTCTCTCATGTACACTCAGTTTGCAGGTAAGCAGCTCAGGGATGGTATGGCAGCTCTAAAATCATCTGAGACCCAGACTCCTTGAACTTATTGACCTGCCCTTTTCAACCCATGGTTTCCAGCTCATGGCCCAGGATGGCTGCTTGAGCTCCAGCCATAACATCAGCATTCCCACCAACAGAAAGAAAGGGAGAAGAGAGACATCCCCTACACACACACATTGAGGATACCTCTGATTATTAGAGATAAAGAATGGCATTTATTAATGATTAAGAATTTGATCTACCAGAATGATATCACAACTCCAAATTTCTTTACAACCTATAAAATATCTACAAAATATATGAAGCAAAAATTAACAGTATTAAGTGAGGGATAAATAAATTCACAATCATAGTGGGAGTCTGTAATATACCTTTTTCAATAGCCAATAGAACATGTCAGTAAGGATATAGAAGACGTGAAAAGTACAATTAACGAATTTGATCTAACTGACACATACAGAATTCTGTACCCTATAATGACAGGATTCTCATTCTTTTCAAATGTGTGTGAAACATATATCAAAAAATGATCCTTGTAAGAAGTTGCCTATACCACTTCTTATATACCATTTCCTGGCCAGCAGTGAATCCTGGCTATACCTAGCAGGACAGGAGGCTGGGAAATGTTGTCTGTTCCAGGTGACTAAGTATCTAACTAAAATTGAGAAGTTCTATTCTAACAAATATTCTAACAAATATTAGGGGAACCAGCAGTCTCTGGTCGCTCCCCTTCCTCCTTTGCCCTGGTAGATCTGGTCCTGTGAGTATTGCACAGTGGGTAAAAGCTTGAGCCCAGAGGCAGAGATTCTTTATTCAGCTCTGGCTTTGTCATGTACTTGCTATGTGACTTTGGATGAATTATTTAACCTGTCTAAACCTCGATTATATTATGAAATGGAAATAACCCTATTTCATAGGGGTATTGGGAAGATGGACCGAAATAATGAGTGTAAAGCACTTAGTTCTGTACCTGGCACATAGTAAGTGTTCCATAAATACTAGCTACACAGGGAGGTTAAATAACTTGCCCAAGGTCACACAGCCAGTAAAATGGCAAAGCTAGCTTTCAGATCCAGTCATCTGGCTGCAGGCTGGTACTGACACTTCTTTGGAGCCTCTGCCACCCTGGGCCCCAAATATGGTGTTAGGGGAAAGGAGCACTGAATGGTGGAGAATAGGAAACTCAACTACAGATTAGCCATGTGACCTTAGAAAAGTCATTTTTAAATATGCATCTTAAATATGTAAAATTCCTCATTCTTTCTGCAGAAGATTGAATTAAGTGAGCCCAAAGGTTTCCCCTGACCCTGACATTTTGTGGTTCTATTTTCCCCACCACTAATGACTGAAATTTTACCATTAGAATGGTTTCTTTTCCTTAAGCCTTGTCTTCTGCCTGAAGTTCTTTTTAAAAAATACAATTTTCCTTTAGAGGGCAGGGCCCTGACTCTGTGGTTTGAGTGAGTGAATCAGGCCTCTTTGCTGCAAGTAGAGAGAAAGCTCTGGGGCAGAAGTCCAGTGGCCCTGCCTGGGAGGGGAGGGAGACTGCAGACAGGAGTGGCCAGGCCCCACAAACTCTGCCACTTGCTAAGGGCCTGCGGTGGCCCAGGAGACGCTGCACCTGGTCTCTTGTCAGGACTGACTGCATAATGGCCGTGAAATCGCTCCCATTAGATCCCCTGGCCGACCCCATCCACGGACATTTCTTACAGGCTTCCTTTTTTTCTCCTTTTATATTTATTCCACCACCCTACCTCGAAAACTGAATTGGAGAAAAATGAGTTTTGTGTTTTCTTAACGAGAAGACTAGCAGTCTTAAATTACCTTCTTCAACGTCTGCAAATAGAAATCACAAATAAGTCAGCCACATTGTCTTTTCCCTCTTCCTTTCTTCCTGTCTCAGTGAGCCCATGAGCTTGAAATAAGAGGCAGAACAGTGGCTCAGAGGAAATAATTGGGGCGTGGTCACGCACCAGCCCAGGAGGCAAGAATAGGATGAAAGGATGGTCCAGTTGGGGGTTGGAAATAATGGAGGAAGAGATGGAAATGCTAAATTCCCCTGGCCCGGCATGTGTGTCTTCTCTGCAGGCCCAGCAGCCATGGTCCATTATAAGACTGAACAGGACGACTGGCTGATCGTCTGCCTGAATAAGCATAAGCCATGCCTCATTGCTTATGGTTCTGAAATAAAAAGAGGTTCCCAAAATGGGGGTAATTTCTTAAAGAGCAACTACTCTGTGAGTGTGGGTGTGCAGGTGCCCAGGGGCACATGCAGCTCGAGGAGAAGAGGAAACTACAAAGGCTTCAGACTTTCTGAGGTTCAGACTGAGAAGCAAACAGGATTACCAGGCACAGTAGGCCCTCTCTGCCTGTATCACCACCATTGATGTCATACTTCCCAGAGAGTCCATCAGTGGGCATCAGAGCGAGGGACAGCATGGTGCTGGGGTAAAGACGGGAGTTTTAGGACTAGAGTCTTAGGCTCTAGCCCCAGTTCTTTGACATGTAATAATAGCTAACATTGAACACTTATTACATGCCAAGGACTATGTTAAACACTTCACATAGATTATTTCATTTAATCTTCAAAACAACCCTATGATATATGTGTCATTATTATCCCCATTTACAGATGAGAATGCTGAGGGATGGGAGGTCATGTAACTTGCCCAAAGTATCACACATCTTGTGACAGATCAGGGTGTGAACCCAGAGAGTCAGACTCCAGAGGCTCTTGTGCTTCTTCCTGCCAAACCACCAGGCCTGTCTGGGCCTGCTTCCTCATCTGAAAAGTCAAGCTGCAGCGGCCAGGTGGGGTGGACTGGGTGATCACTGGGGCCCTTTCCAACACAGGTGCTCTGCTCTGGGGCTCAGGCCACACCTGTGGATGCAGAGTCCTGTTCAAATGATGCAGAGTGCAAGTTTCCTATGCAAAGTAGTGATGCTGAGTGTGTGTGTGCGTGTAGGACAGGTAAACTTGTGTCCTGCAACCCTGGTGAGACAGGAAAAGAGATTAAGAACACAGTAAGACCAGCGCAAATTCTGTGGGAGACTTGTAGGTTAGACCTTTGTCAAGAGGACAAAACTGACATCTAAAGGTCTGGAAGATTCTGCCCCAATTCACCTCTATTTGGTCTCCTTAGCAATTCCCACATCTTTGCTCCATGCTGCACATGCAGAGCCTCAAAGCCCCCGGCAGATAGGTTAATGAGCCCTTTGAAGGGAGCCTTGCCAAGATGCTCTGGCTCTGGGAAGGACAAGGTGGTTCTCGGTGATTCCCCGGCCCAGCATATGTGTCTTCTCTGCAGGCCCAGAAGCCATGGCCCACTATAAGACTGAGCAGGACGACTGGCTGATCATCTACTTGAAGTATTTACTCTTTGTCTTCAACTTCTTCTTCTGGGTGAGTGAATTCTGCACACACATCCTCTTCCCCGAGCACTGAATGAGTCAAGCCACCTTTTGTTTTTTTGTGTCACCACTTTGAGGTTGATATCTTCCAAATCAAAGATCAACGATCAACCATGGGTGAATTCTTCCCACTTTAAAGCAAATATGTACATTTGCTACTGAGAAAGAAGAAAAGAATTGGGTCTGCAGGTTGGCATGGAGTTTGTACCACATGGCATCTGAATAGAGGCACAAACATAACAATAGGCTTTGTGTTCTAGCCCTGCTGTACAAAGGGTCCGGTTCTTTCTTCCCCACTAACTTGTTGCACCAGCGCCTTTTGGAAAATGTGACTGCCTGAAATAATAACTTGTTTTCCACTGAAATCCATTCACCTTTCATGGTTAACATTCTCCAGGCCCAGGGCAGAGAAACAGAAGTCCTGGAGGCTCCAACTACTGCTGCCTGTGATGAAAATAATCTCTATGGCAACTCTCCTCAGGAGCCTGCCTGGGTGAGGTCTTCCAGAGGAGTGTAGTCTGTCCACTTGAAGCAATCATCTGGGTAATTGGGAGCAGAATACCATCAGTTCCCAAAAATAGACACTGGAATATATATATTTGTTATTACAGTCTCACTAAATTTGAGAAGGTAGAAGAGTGACAAGAGTGCAGGCTTTGCAGGCAGCTGTACCCATGCTCTGCTGACTACTAATGGTGGAGCCTTGGGCAACTTACCTAACTTCAAGGAATCTGCTTCCCCAGCTGCAATTCAATGATAATTTCTAGCCTGTTGGGGTTGCATTCAGTAAATGCAGTATTTTGAATATATTAGATGTCAAATGCCTGAAAATACCACCAAATCAACCCATGATAAGGCATAGCTGGGCTTCCTGCTACCATGGTGAGGGAGAAGACACTTGACAGAGTCTTAGAAGCATCTCAGAAAGGCAAATGCAGAAGTGGGGGACATGTCTGAGTTTTCAGGGTCTTTCTTGCAGGGGCTTGCTTAAGATTGGGAAAGACCATGATGTGAGAGTTTAGGATGGGTAGACATGGCAAGGCAAGAGTTTTGAAGAGTCTTGGAGAATAAACCAGTCATTAGATGCTATCTGTTAAAAAGTTGTGCGATCTGCTATTTGTTTAAATGTTGTTTGCAAAGTTCCTGAAAGGAATAATAAAATAATTTGTCACTTTTATCTTCCTGGGCAAGAGTTTCCTGCAATAGTGAAGTTGTGATGATGAAGATGGTGCAATAATAAAGCTGTGTTGATATGGATAGTAAACTGTGTGGTAGAGATGGTTTCCATTCTGAGAGACAAATCCAATAGGATGATTAGGATTCTTGCTAAGTAAGCATTTCTTTTTAAGAGTAACTATTTATTTCCTGATTATAAAAGTCTTATGTATCCACTACAGATAACCTCTAAAATATTAAAAAGTATCGTAAAATAAAAATTGTTCTTATCTCATTAAGTTCATTTCAAAATGCCATAAACTGGATGGCTTCAAACAACAAAAATTTATTCTCTCACAGTTCTGGAGGCTAAAAGTCAAAAATCAAGGTGTCACAGGGCCAAGCTCCCTATGAGACTTGGATAGAATCTTTCCTCGCCTCACCCCAGCTTCTGGTTGTGGCTGCTGATTCTTGGCACTCCTTGGCTTGTGGCTGCATCACTATAGTCTCCAAGGCCTCTGTCATCACACACTGTTGTCCGTGTGTGTCTCTGTCTTCACATGATGTTTTCTTCTTACAAGGACACCAGTCATATTAGATTAGGGCCCACCCTAATGACCTCATCTTAACTTGATTACATCTGTGAATATCATATTTCCAAATAAGGCCACATTCACAGGTACCAAGGGTAAGGATTTCGACATATCTTTTGGGGGACCCAGTCCAACCCAAACCACTGGCCACCCCAGGAACAGCCTCTGTTGACATTCCCTCTAGACTTTGCTTTGATCAGGGCAGGAGACGGTGGTGACTTACATTGTGGGAGTGTCAATGGGGATCTAAATATTTGCAGAGAGTGAAGGGATTTATAAGGTGAAATTGTCAAGATTGGGTCCTTAACCTAAAAAGGCATCTGGGACATGTGGATGGTGGATGGTAGAGCTCTTCATTGTAAACAAGAGACCAAGGTTCAGCTTCAGTCTCCAATAGCGCTGGCTTTAAGACTTTTGGGATCTTGTCCCATGTAAGATATACACTGAAGCATAAAGAATAGTTACGTGGAACATTGTTCACCAAAGTAAGCTTTACGCTTATGGTGTGTGATGCACTCAGATATTTTTTTCTATTTTGATTCTTTCCTTCTTTTCGTTTTTAGTGCAGCTTACAACCCACTAAACTTATATCACAACCCTAATGGGTCACATTCCAAAGTTTGAAAAATTCAGAGCCATCTTCACCTCCACCTGAACGAGGGCAGACTTCAGGTGGCAATCCTTCCCCATCACCCTGTCCCTCACTCCCACCTCCCCCTGGCCCCTGCCACCTAGAATTTCAGTTAAGCTGATGTCGATTGGATGATCCTACAAAGCAGGGAAGGAACCAAAAACGCTGACACTTTCATGCCTCCTTTGGGACCGTAAAAGAAAATGTGGTCCAGGGTTTCCTCTGTGGCCACCCAGGAGATGTTTCTTTCCCCTACCATTTTCTTCCATGGCTCCCTACGGTGCCCATCGCCCCTGCAATGGTGTTCTCTAACTTATTATTTTATTCAGCTGCTTGGCTGTGTTAATAATCAAAACGTTTCTAGCCCCCCAGGCACTCTGTCAGGCTATGGGGAGCACTGAGGAAGCAGCTGCTCCCTTGCCTGGAGAGGCTGCCTCTGCTCCAGAAGCTGTGTCCTGCCCTTGAGCATTAGCTGAGGCCTTGGTATTTCCCCGGGGACCGGGGATACATGGGGCTAAGACAGGTGGCAGAGAAGATGGAGGACTTGAACCCCAGCAGGGGAGTGCGATGACTTGAGAGCATCACTTCAGGAGTCAGGGAGGCCGTGGGAGGGAAGCACCTTCTGCCGAGTCTCAAAGCCCTTCTCTTCGTACATCAACATCCCACTGAACGTGGCTGCTGCCCACCTTCCAGGCTTGCCATCTAAGAAAGAACAGGTGATGGCTTTTCTGCTGCACCCCTTTTTGAGTTGCTGAATGGCCTGGGACCCCCCCCCCCCCCACACCATGGTCTTCTGCCCCTCTGTGCTGCCAGGATCTGCTGGGAGACAGGGTCACAGTCGAGGGGGATATGCATTTGGTCTGCACAGTGCCGTGGCAGGTGAGACAAGTCAGGATGAAGCCTGGGATAACCCCTTCTAGCTGCTCTGCTGTAGCTCAGGACTCTAGGCCTGCTGTAGCCCAGACACCAATGACTTGCTTCCCGGCCAAGCAGCTTCATTGTGGGTCAGCAGCCCAATTGGTTAAATGGGCACTAAACTGAGCATTAGGATTCCTAATTTCCGCTCTCCATGCTTCCTTTGGCTTTCTTGTGTGACTATGGAAAAGCCACTTCTCTCTAGGCCTTGGTTTCTCCATCCAGAATATAAAAGGGGTTGAAATCAATCAATCCCTCCCTCCCTCCCTCCCTCCCTTCCTCCCTTGCTTCCTTCCATCCTCCTGTCCTGCCTCCCTCCCTCCCTCCCTCCTTCCTTCCTTCCTTCCTTCCCTCCTTCCCTCCCTCCCTCCCTCCTTCCTTCCTTCCTTCCTTCCTTCCCTCCCTCCCTCCCTCCTTCCTTCCCTCCTTCCTTCCTTCCCTCCTTCCCTCCCTCCCTCCCTCCTTCCTTCCTTCCTTCCTTCCTTCCCTCCCTCCCTCCCTCCTTCCTTCCTTCCTTCCTTACATGTGTAGCCCTCTGCTAGGGATATTAAGATGAACGAAGTTTAATCAAGAGGCTAAAAGAGGAGGCACACAAGGTAACCAATAAAATAAATAGAGTATGAGTGTAACTATGGAAACGTGCAAGACCTGGAGTTGGTACAGAGGACAGAATGATTTGCTGGGAGAGGGGGGCAGGGACAGCTCCAAGGAAGGTTTCCTCTGGGCTCTGAGCTGGGTTTGGAAGATGAACAGGTGATCTCATGTTCCCTCCCAGCTCCACCCCTCAGTAAGACTCATGAGATTTTGCTCTTGTTATAGGGGTAGATGGGACTGGGGAAGACAGCAGAGGAGGTAGTGTTCTGATTTATTTTATCAAGGGCTCTTTAAAGCCAGAAAGCCAAAAACAAGGATGCCTCAAAGTGGGAAATAGCCCTTAGCATAACAAGCCTATCCTTGAAGATTCCATAAACCAAGGCAGCAGGAGCATGGGCAGAGCTGGGGAGAAATGCATGCCTGGCACTCAGAGAAGGTCATTCATGAGGAGGGTGAGCAGCAGCACCTGATGCACGCTTTCATGTGCCCTCCTGGAGAGCTCGGCATTTTGGGCGTGGGACTGGGGTGCCGTCCACCCTGCCTGCATGTGGGTATAGGGCTCAGCTGTGCTCTCTCGGGGCTGCAGTCTAAGGTTCAGCTGACTCTTCTGATGTGGGAATGGGAAGCCATTCTGTAAAAGAAACTGAGTCTTGTTCAGACCTGGTCTCCCAGTCCTCTCCCTGAGCCCCCATGCTGTGTTTGCTCCCCAAACTAGACCCATTCACTTCTCCGTCATAGCAGAAGTCACTCTGGTGGTTACTAAGTCAGGTCTTTCAACCCAGTGTCCTACAAGTGATCCTGGGGCAGGGGCAGGGGCAGTGGCAGTGTCAGGCATGGGTCCCTTGATGGCCCAAGAGCGTGGCATCATTGTAGCAGGTGCACAGTGGGTATTGGTTGAAAGAAAGTATGAGAGTAACCAAGCATCAGTCTGACCTTAAGATACCGAGGGCGCAACCCCAGCCTTTCCAGGAGCCTCTTCTTAATGACCCAGAGAAAAAGCCTATTCCTCTCTGGGACTACTGGGACTTTGTGGACTGCCCCTTTAAAAATCAAAACAGCCATAAAGCAGGAAAGAGAAACACTAGCTGTTGCCCCAGAAGCTCGGCAGACAGAGGCAGGTAGGGGAGCAGATGCCATTTCCACAGCCCTCTACAGAGCCTCATCCACTGAGTCTCACACTCACTGGGGCGGCTCCCGGGTACCAGGCCGTGTGCTGGGCCGCGTTCTGAGGGGAGTGAGGGGACTTTCCCTGCCCCAAGTGTCAAGGGCTGCTGTGAGGTGAGCAGCACCACAGGCATGCAGGAGAGGGATGAACTCACCTGCCCAGGACAGAGCAGGTGCCACACTCAAAATCTCAAAATGGGCCTTAGAGGGTGTGTAGGAGTTCAACGGAAGAGAAAGGGCAGAGAGAACAATGCGTGAAAGGTGGGCAGGAAAAAGAGAGAGCCTCCCTGAGGCCCACAGAGGCTGTGTTGCTTATCCAAATCCACACAGCCAGTAAACAGAAGGCTTGGACTCGGACACCGCGCCACGCCCTGGAGTTCACGCTGTTTACCACTCTGCTAATAGTGCCTGAGTTACTAGGTAACCACACTGTTTTCAAGAAGAAGCAACTACTTAGTTCAAAGTGATTAAAACCCAGGAAAAAAAATACAAAAATTAGCCAGGCGTGGTGGCGCGTGCCTGTAATCCTAGCTACTCAGGAGACTGAGGCAGGAGAATCGCTTGAACCTGGGAGGCGGAGGTTGCAGTGAGCCGAGATCACGCCACTGTGCTCCAGGCTGCGCGACCGAGTGAGACTCTGTCTCAAAAAAAAAAAAAAAAAAAACCGAGGTGTGGGGGGAAGAAAGTACCAGAAGATGATGCCAAAAAGTCAGGTTAAGGCCAGACAGTAAGAGCACCGAGGCCATGCAAAAGAGTTTTTGGGCTTGGTGCCTGGGGCATGGGAGCTGGTGGGGACTTCTCAGCCGGGGGTGCCTTGGGGGATCAGCCTGTGGGCGGAACAGGAGCCAGGAGCCGGGAGCCAACTGAGGTGGGGAACCGAGGTGGACAGTGTGGCGGGGAGATGGAGACAGGTTTGAGGGCAGAGGGGAATTGGCACATGGTTGTCATTGAGAGAAGGAGGAGCCTACAGTGACCCTGTGGTGTCTGTGGGTGGGTGGGTGGGTGGGTGATGGCGCGGCGCCATGTATGAGACTGAGCAGGGAGGAGGAGCACAGATGATGAGTGTGGTTCCCATGGGTGAGCTCCTGTCCAACCCAGAGACTTTTCAGTCCAGTGTGGGGCTTGGCATGTAGCAGGTGGCCAGTAAACACAAAGTCTACTATCACCCTGTACACTTCCCATCACCCTGTGCATTTCCCGCATCCTGAGCCATGGGCTCCTCCTCACTGAGGGTGGAGAACTCCCCTCCGCAGAGGATCCTTCCTTATTGGGATTCAAGTGTTCCTGGCTCCTGCCCCATCCCTTTCCTTCCTTCATTGCAGAAGCCCTATGGTAGCGAGACAAAGAAAAACGCCTACATTTACTTTTATACCCTCTGCCTGCTTTCCTCCAGGTCTGCTGCCTTATTTCTCTCGGCCCCTCAGGCATGTGCAGCCACTCAGGTTAATGCTTCACCCCATCATGTTTCTTTCCTATGAACATAAAGTTCCTAAAATTACACAACAGGGGTGACCTGCTCCGCCCCTCCTGGCCAGCTTGCATCCTTGTCGCCTGGCTTCACCCTCTGCAGGGCTTGCTGGCTAGTCGGCCACAGGCTATGGCTTTGAAAAATGTAGTTATTGCCCAGGCGCGCTGGCTCACACCTGTAATCCCAGCACTTTGGGAGGCCGAGGCAGGTGGATCACCTGAGGTCAAGAGTTCAAGACCAGCCTGACCAACTTGATGAAACCCCCTTTCTACTAAGGATACAAAAATTAGCCAGGCGTGGTGGTGCACACCTGTAATCCCAGCTACTCAGAAGGCTAAGGTGGGAGAATTGCTTGAACCTGGGAGGTGGAGGTTGCAGTGAGCCAAGATCGCACCACTGTACTCCAGACTAGGCGACAGAGCGAGGAAAAAAAAAAAAAAGAAAAATGTAGTTATTACCCTCATGGAAAACCACGCTAGATTCTGTAAAGAGCCAAATACTGTTGAATCAACTGTATGCCAATGGTTGTTGAATAGTTCACTGGGGTCAGATCTCTCCCCACTCCATCAAGTCCCTCTTCCTGCCTCTTCTGCTGCTTTCTGCTGACTTAGGCAGTTTCCAGGCGGCTTGAGTGACAGCCATGAGCCATTAATTCAGAACCATCTTGCCGGAGGTTCTTTGACAGAAGCTTGACTTCTGGTACCAGCAGGGACAGTTTAACCATATGGAAGGGACCTCAGATATGGTCCCATCCAGTGCCCCCAGTTTACAGATGAAGAAACTGAGGCTTAGAGGGGCTGCATATCTGTCCCACAATCATGTGGTTAGTCAGGGACACAGTCAGAACTAGAACCCAGGCTGCTGACTTCTGCCCTCCCGTGACCCCCTCTGGTGACCCATCCAACAGTGAGCAGTGTTAATTTTCCTGTCCAGAGAAAAGCTTGTTTTCTAAAGAGATGACCATGTCCCAAGCAGGTCTTCCAAAGGAATGAAACCCTCTCATTCCTTACAGCTAAGCCTAAGGACTGGGACGGGGTGGAGGCTCTCAAAACATTAGATCCTGGGGAAAAGTAATCAAAGGGGTTCCCAGTAGTTACAGGTTGGGAACCACTGGTCTAATACAACTCCCTGATTTAAGAGATGAAGAAGCTGAGGTCCGGAGAGGTTAAGGGACTATGTTTAGGTCACACCGCTAGTTATGCAAAGTTGGGACCCTCACCCAAGCCTTCCAGGCATGCTGAAGGGGGCAAAAAGAATTCCGTGCAGGATATTTGGCTGCAAACCCTCACATTACACAATTTTATTGACCTAAACTCAGGAAATCCCTCACTGGTCATGGAGGTTGTGTGAGCCGCAGATAACCTATACCCACAGATAATTTTAAAACCTATTCTAGGATTTCATTGAATCTAAGATATCATCAGTGGTAAGACACACTATTGTTTTTTGTACCACTAAGAAAAACTACTGCCAAGTACAATTATAAAATACCATCAGTCATAAGATACATCCCAATTTTAGAGATGTTAAAATGTGAGAGAAAAATGTGTGCATCACGGAATTGAAGAAATCTGCGTGATAGCCACTCCCATTCTGTTTGCTGTAGCCCAGATGGTGTCCTTCCACCTGGCTCTTCCACCTGGTGGAGGTGCCAATGGAGATTAAATGGCACTTTGAAGAAATAGTATCTATTAAAAACACAGAGTAGAGGAGCAGGCCCAGCCCAGTCTGTGGGATCTGGGGACAGAGTCCTGGATTTGCTCTCAGGAGACATGGGGTTGAATCTCAATTCTAAAACTCATGGTGTAATCTTGGGCACAGTCTTATTCTCTTCAAGCCTCAATTTCCTCATCTGCAAAATGCAGAATATGTGCCCTGCCACCCTGCCCCATGCTCACAGAGCTGTTGCAAAGCTCAGAAGAGAAAATGGTAAATACATGTTCGTTTGCTCAACGGATGTCTGTGACTGCCCAGAACAGAGAACTGGGAAATGACAGGGTAGGTTATATGGAGTCTTCCTGGGGCAGATGGGGAGCTCCTTTCAGTGACAAGGCTCAGGGGGCATGGACAGAGCCCAGGGCACTTCTCTAGCTTTGACCACGCCCAGGACTCCTTGAGGAAGCATCCCACACCCATTAGAGAAAAGAGACCCATCCTTAAATGGGGGCAGGGAGACTAGCGGGCAGAAGTCCACATTCCCAGGAGCAGATGGCAGAGACGGTCAGAGGTCCCAGGGGTCCTGTCCCCAAATCCTGGGCAAACACCCACATACTCCCCATCTGGCACCCTGAAGATGCTGTGCATGTGTGCATACACACACATTATGCCCTTCTGGGTCCAACAGTCACAGAAAGAGTTACTTGGCTTCATTGCAAATAGAACCAGCCAAGCCGAGCCATCCCTGCTATATTTCCCAAGTACTCCAGTTTCTAAGGAGGCATCCCCCTATCTGCAAATCAGGAGGGTCCTATCCCTCCCCTCTTCTCAGGACCAAAGGGGAATCAGACAATTAGCAAAAAAGTTTCTCCTCCTGCAGTCCCAGGCGGCTCCAGCCTGTCAAGAACCCTGACTCTTCAATCATGGAGGCAGTGTGACTGAGTGGGCAGGCCCTGGGCTCTGAGTTCTCCTCCTGTCTCTGCCCCTAACCCTGCCCCCAACTACAGGCAGGACCTTGGACAATTTACCTTTCCTCCGTGGGTCTCAGTTTCTTCCTCGTAGAGTAGGGATAAAAAGCCCAGCTGTGCTTCCCCAATGGGCAAACATAAGGATTAAACAAGGGGCGGTGCTCGAACGAGCCCCACCAGGGAAGTGCGGACAGAGGGAAGAAGTGCTCTGAAGGGATAGGAGCCAGGGGTGGCAGGAGTTGGGGAGGTGAAAAGTTGGAGAAGCAAAGGGACTCAGATACGTTGATCATCCCTGAAACTGCAGTCCTCTCCCCTGGCCTCATACGCAATAGGCCACCAGGGTAAAAAGCACCGAATTCACAGTCGGACCTGGATTCAAAACCTGGCTCTGCAGGTTGCTTACCTTGGACAAGTCTCCTAACCTCTCTCAGCCTCGATTTCCTCATCTGTAAAATTGGGTAACCATACCATTCTCGCCTCCTTTGGAGGACTGAATGAGCCAGTGCAAGAGAAGTGCCTGGCACCCTGTGGGCACTGAACGGATAGCAGCTGCCGAGGCCCCCGCCACCCCCTGCTCTAACCCGGTGGTCTCCTGCAGGTCGGGGGAGCAGCCGTCCTGGCTGTGGGCATCTGGACCCTGGTGGAGAAGAGTGGCTACCTCAGCGTCCTGGCCTCCAGCACCTTTGCCGCCTCCGCCTACATCCTCATCTTTGCGGGCGTACTTGTCATGGTGACCGGCTTCCTGGGCTTCGGTGCCATCCTCTGGGAGCGGAAGGGCTGCCTCTCCACGGTCAGTGCCCGCCCTGTGCTCTGCAGGGATGGGGAGCCCTGCACCACCCAGTCAGGTTTCCAGCAAGTGAGAGGGGCCCCAGCCCTGGAGTGGGAGGGGCTGAGGCTGTGGGAGTGCCCGAGAAGGGGTGGCTGCTCCTGGGTCTGGGGTTTGCCACGGTCTCCAGGTTCTTAGGACCCAAGCAAGCAGGCGTCTCAGTAGCTGCAGTGGCAGCTCCTTCTCCGTATCTCCATCTCTGTCTCCTCTCACTCCCCTTCTTCCTCTTCCTCTTCCTCCTTCTATTTCTTCTTCTCCTATTCTTCCTGGTCCTCTCCTTCTCCTTCTCCTATTCTGTACCCTTCCCCTCCTCCTTATCCCGTTTCCTTCTTATTCTCTTTTTCCTCCTACTTCCCCTTCTCCTCTCCCTCTCCCTCTTCCTCCTCCTCTTCCTCTTCCTCTTTCTAGGTTTTTTTATGGCAATTTTCAAAGATATGCAAAAATAAAGAGTGTTTTTCATGAAGCTCCATCTTCCCTTCACCCAGAGTTCAACAATTACCATCTCATAGCCGATCTTGGTTCCGTCCACTCTCTCACCTGCACCCTGCCCACTTCCTAACCCCAGGGTGATTCTGAAACAGTCCCAGACAGCATGTCATCTGTTAGAGTTTCAGTGTGTATCTCTAAACTTAAGGACCCTCTTCTAGAAAACATGATAACATTACCATTATCACACTTTAAAACAATTAACAGTCATTCCTTAATATCATGAAATAACCAAGCAGTTTCACATCTTCCCAGTTGACCCATAAACTGTTGTTGTTGTGTTTACATTTGAGTTAGAATCTAAATTAGGCTCGTGTGTTAAAATTGGTTGCTTATCTCCTACGTCTCCTAAAGTGAAGGCCCCCAGAGTTTGGGTTTTGAGCTCTTTTTCAGCAGGTGGGACAGGTGTGCTGAGAGCCAACCATGCCACCACCCACCCCCACATGGGGCCTACCATGAGGATTTCCAGCAGGGTGATGCAGGTCGGTCAACTGAGGTCCTTGAGAGCCACGTAGCACATCCCAGGTCTGACCAACATAGCTGGATGAAGGCACGTGACGTGACTGAATAAAACCAGGCATGTAGCGCAGCCCGGGGATGTTCCCTCTGTGTGGCACTGACCAGCCATGAGGCTTATGGGGATCAGTGCAGTTGGGCCCAGAGAAAGAACCCCTCTCCTCTGCAGTGTCGGCAAGCCTGTTTGTGTCCTGTCCGGCTCTGCACCTGTTAGCAAGCAGGGCCTTCAGCCTAGCCTCAGGCTTCAGGCTGAGCCTCTGGCCCTCACGCCTGGAGGTCTGCCCATGAGCAGGCTGCCAAGCCACGTGCTCTCACCTGCCTCCTTCCTTCCGTCGGGTCATCTTGTTTAGAGAGGACAGGACTCACCTCTGGACAGCCCAAGAAAGAATACAGAAGCCCCCACCGAGCGCCTTCCTCTGACCCAGAGCCATCTGTCCTGCTTCTGTGGAGCCACTGAAGGCCAGTGGTCCCCTGCAGCACTGGGAAACAGGCCCTGCATTCCTCCCAGAGCCCAATTAGAACACAAATGGCCACTATTCACTAGAGCCACCTCCCTCTATCCTCACTACAGCAACCTGCAAAGTCCCGGTAGTCTGAACTCTGTGCCGAGCAAGCGCTGCACTTGACATTCATGCACATCAACTCACTCAGTCCTCGCCCTGCCCCAAAGAGCAGCAACTCTTACTCTGTGTATGGACGGGGAAGAAACGGAGAGCAGAGGCAGGTGAAGCAATTTGCCCAGAGTCACCTTGCAGTTGTGTTCTTTTAGGTGATGGTCAGTCAGGTGTGGCCACAAGAGGGGGCACAGGAGAGGCACAGGACAAGAGAGTTTACCAGACTCACAGGTCCTAGACCAAGCTTGACCAGCCCGTAGCCCACGGGCCGCATGCAGCCCAGGACAGCTTTGAATGCGGCCCAACACAAATCCGTAAACTTTCTCAAAACATTATGAGATTTTTTTTGTGATTTTTTTTTTTTTTAGCTGATCAGCTGTCGTTACTGTGTTTTATGTGTGGCCCAGGGAAGCCAAAAGATCAGACACCCTGTCCTAGACAGATTCACTGCACACAACAACAGGAGGTGGGGGTCACACGGGCGGAGAGCCAAAGACTAGGGCTCCCCCAAGCAGGCAGGGAACAGAGAGTGGGTGAGACCCTTTCCTTGGGGGTCAGGGTAGAGCCATAAGAAAAGGCAGGAGGGGATTCCGTTGGTGCATTTGAATGTCACTAGGTCACAGTCAGGGGAGGGTAGCAAGGGGAACTTGTAGCAGAGCCAGCCCTATCACACTGGTGCACCTGGTCACCCCAGCAGGTGCGCACAGTCTGCATGTAGGGATGTGGAGGCAGAAGAAAAATGCGAAGTTTTAAAATGCATGATACACACTGCTGGTGAGTGGCATGCAGTCTGCCTCCAAGCCCACGCTCTGACCCACCACACTCTTCTGCAACCCAAGAGGTCATATTCACCCCCATTTTCCAGATGAAGAAACTGGGCTGAGATGTGGAGCAAGTAATGGCTGGAGCTGGACTGTGCGTTGCTGTCTGTTGGAATCACCTCTAAGAGTCTGCTTCCCTGGGGAGGAGGACAAGCCTGATGGGAGGCAGAGGGACCAGAGGCCAAGGGGGAGGATGTGTGCAGGGCACACCCTGCCCTCCATCTCTGGAGAGGTCTTCATGGAGCAGTGGCTTTTGGAGATCTGGCTGGTAACAAGGGAGGGTCCCCTCCAGCACCTAGCCCGGAACCCTAGGGCAAGAGACAGGGGTGTAGTGAGGGGACCCTAGAAGCCTCAGGCATCTCAGTGCCTCGTTGCTCCCATTATAGTAAGGAAAGAACAGCACACCTGGGTCAGAGTATATTCAGCTTAGAAGGGACCTTGAGGGTCACAGAGTCCAGTGCTCCATCCAAAGGTTACAGGCTGAAAGACACTGGGTGGGTGAGTGTGTGGGTCACCCAGGCATTAGTGGGAGACACTCAGAATTATTGGATTTTTTGGAGAATAGTGTAATCATAGGAGCGCTTCCCCTTGGCCATCTCAAAGGCCAGAAGGGAAGCCTAAGCTTTAGCACCTGACCACGCTGTGCTCTCCAAGCCACTGATCACAGCCTCCCATTCCACACTTCCTCTTACACCATCTGTTCATGAGATCTGTCCAGACATCCAGGCTGATCCATGAAGAATGAATGTCTTCAGCCTCTGTGTCTCAACCTGGCTGTCACTTAGTCTGGATGGCCTGCCCAGAGGGAACCAAGCCCTGTGCCCAGAGCATGTGGGAGAGATGTGGAGAGTCAGTGAAGGTCAGGGCCTTGTGCTTGCCCAAAGCCTTGCTGGGCACCTCTTGCCCTACCCTTCTGCACTTCGGGGAGTCAACAGGCAGTGAGCCTTATCCCTCTGGGGCTTGAGGCAGAGAGGGGCACAGCAGCTGTTGCACAGGCTGGTGCAAGATTCCCTGCTTCTTCTCAGCTCCACTTTACCCTCTTCTGTAGAGACTTGCCTGCGTTCACTCCCATCCCACACAGAACTGGTGATCTCTCTGGTCCAAGTCACTAAACAGACACATCAAGGAGGCAACAGCTTGAAACTGAGGTCAGAAAAAAGTGTGCATGCACGCACACACATTCGTGCACACACATGCATATGCATGCACACACATGCATATGCACGCACACATGCACTCAGCCACCAACGCAGGACTGTGGAGACAGGCATCTCTGCCAGGGCGCTAGCAAACAGCAAACTCCATGGCCTAGAATCTGCTTTCTTTGCTTTATCTGCCCCTCTGTGAAAGAACCAATGACAACTGGCCCAAGGACAGAGCAGGAGGTAAAGCTGGGGATCCTGAGTAATCCACATCCTGGCCCAACAGCCCGTGAAGCATCGAGCACTTGATTGTTTAAACCAAGAAGGTGCCTGTACAACCTTTCTTGGGCTAACACAGGTAGGAATTTTAAAACCCAGGCTCCCATTTAGAGTCAAGTGGTGTGGTTAAGGCAGTGTAAAAGTGCTGTATGGCTCTTAGCAGTTCCTTCCTTGTTTCATTTCATTTTGTCCCCTCCATGTTTAACTTCCATTTGAAATCTTGAATCAGCTGACAGGTGAGGGAAGCTCCAAAGGAGAAGGGCAGTGAGTCTATCACTAGACCAAGTGGTCCCTGAGGAGGAGAGGGAAAGATGAAAGACCAGGCATCTGAATGATGTGCAACTACCTTGGATCGGGAGTAGCAGGGGAGGAGTTCCCAAAGAATGACCCAGAGGGGGACCATCCAGCTTCCACACAGGCACGATGTCTGTCCTGGCACAGCCCTTCCTCCTAGCTCATCTGCAGCTCCTCAAAGTCACTTTCCCAAGAAGGACGTGGCCGTCGGGGACAGAAATAGCACATCTCTGCTGGTGCTGAAATGATGATCAGCTTGGCATTGGAAATCTGCCAGGCAGGAACAGGAATGGGGCTTAAATTATTCACACCAGATCTTTTTTAGCAAAGCCTGCATGAGAGAGATAATTCAGGCCATCTGAGCCTATGGTCAATGACCAGAACAGAGGCCACCTAGATCAAAAGAAAGGGATATTTTTAGAGTTGTGAATGGGGGCTCTGAAAACTTCTATATTTTAAGCCAAATGAAGATCATGGTGGATGATTCAGACTAAACTGGGTCTTTATTGGGAGTTCTTTTCTATTTAGGGGATGGATAAAAAAGTAAGAAGTTCTAAAAACCAATTTCTAAAACAAGGGGATCCAGAATTGCCACACCTCCATCCAACAGGCCAAGACGTGGTCAACCAGGGCACTAAAGTCCACAATCAAAGGTGAAAATATATGGGCTCGGGTTCAAAAGCTGGTTTTCGAGTACCTTGCCTAGCTTGCTCTGGGACCTCGGGTAAGTCACTCAGCTTCTGCCTGCCTCCTTGTGTTGCCATTTTATACAGGATGATGTGTGAGGATAACGAAGAAGTATTTTCAGGTCCTGGGAAGCAAGTCACCACATTATAAAAAGATGGTAAAAATGTGGCTCTAATGAACATTCACATCACTATTGCCGTCACCATGACCAAGCTCCCTTAAGAAGGAACCTAAATAAATAAGAGTTATTCTGAGGGCCATGGCTCCCAGGGCCCTGCAGCCTGAGCTGGGCCACATCCTCTGAAGTAGCTGGCGCTGGTGGGAAGTTCAGGGTGAGGAGAGCCTGAGTCCCCATGCCTGGAAACTGGACTGTGTCCTCCCTGGCTCGTTTCTTACCTACACATTCTGTTATGTTGCTCCATCAGCCACCCAGCTCCAAGGTGGGCCTTGCCTCATCTGTTTGGTGGCTCTTTAACCTTTGAGTCAGCTGCCCCCACCATTCTATAGCCAGGACTTGGGGAACCCCGACCCCTCTCCAGCATGAGTCCTTTCCTCATCCAGCGTGGCTTATGCAGTGCAGGCAGGGGAATGGACCAGGGGACCTCAGAACCCTGAAGGCTCCTTGGGAAGCAGGATGCAAACATCCTGAAGAGCTGACCGCTCAAGAGACTCATAGGGTTTGTGTTGACATCCATCCTTCTCGGGATGCAGCGGGTGTACCTGATCACCACAATCCAGCAGCATTGTCTTGATGGGGTGGTTCTATGGCCAATTAGCTTCCACCACCACCTCCCTCCGATTTTCTGCAGTGGATGTTCCATATTGCATTGATGGGACTGCCTAATTCATCAACATCAACAAGCATTTCCAGCACATTCCTGGCATGTCCTGCTCTGCTGGGCACAAGGCAGGGTGAGAAGGGGAGGAGGGAAAAAGGGACTCTGACCCAGTTCTAGGCTTAGAGTCTAGTGAGGAACATGAGGCGCCTGTATTAAAAGGCAAAGGACCATGCGGGCAGTTTAAATTTGTATTGGATTTGGTCAGAGGCTCTGACCTCTCTGGGCTTTCCCTAACTTCCAGGCTGCCCTGTTCCCTGGAGCCTGGTGTCTCCTTCTTGTTCTTTGTCCTCCCCTCTGTTCTTTGTCCTACCCTTGCCCCTTGCACAGGTGCCTTCAGGCTGTACTATCTCTCCCACAGCCTGCAAGAAGACAGCCAATGGGAAAGTCTGGGTAATTCCAGGGCACTGGGAGGAAGTAGCAATTGGTCACTTTCCTCATGCCAGAATCCGCTGAACACCATCATCCTCTGAGTTCCCTGTGCCGTGTCTCCCTGTTGGGGGTCTGGCCCTCATTGCCCCAGCCAGCTGGCCAGGCCCTAATGCCCAGTCTGGGGGCTGCTCTCACTCAGCCTGTTCAGACTGGGCTCTCAGTAGTCCCAGCTTGAATCCTAGTAAATGCCTGTCTTTGGCTTGGAGTTCTGAAACTGTGTTCTCCTTCCATGACCCTCACCGCCCACTGGAACACACACAGTGTGATCTCCTTAGACCCCCAACATTTGGGCTGGGACATTGAAGGGCCTCAGCCACATTTTCTTGATGTGCCTCTAGAAGACTTGCTGCCTCCCCAAGACCCAGTTTTTTTCCCTCCCTGCCTCTTCCAGCATGCCCTCTCTCTGTCCACCGGCTCTCTGCACCCTAGCCCTGGCCCCCTTTTCTGCTCCCAGAACCACAAGTCAGTATCAGACATTGGCCAGAGCACATTCTTGAGCCCTCACTGTAAAGCCACTTCCAGGTGAAATGGCTGAATCCCAACCTTTGGCGTGGTTGCAGCTGGACAACCCAGGCGCTGAGCCCTGGGCTGGGGCCAGGAGGGGTAGAGGTTACCTCCATCCTTCTAACAGTGACACTTGGTTACAGGAATGGCTGAAGGCTCCCAAATCCACATCCTCTCTTTTCTGCACAAATGGGCCGGGCAGCTGCACCTCTGAGCCCACTGCAGTTAATGGTTAATTGCCAGAAAATAATTCCCCCTAGGCTGTTGCCACTGAAACAGCTGGCTTCACTTTTCCTGTTTGGCGGGTGGTTCTGAGCTCCCTGACCCTCCCTCCGGCTTCCTCTGTAATCCTCTCACACACAGAGCCAGCTGGGAGCCTCGGGCTGGGCTCTCCTCCCTGCAACTTAACCTTGGCAGGGTCTTGGGTTTTCTTTGGCTGTTGATGCCCTGTTCTGAGAATAGGCTAGTACCTGCCTCTCATCCCAACCTGCCTGGACTGCCTTGACTAGATATGGCTTGGCAGGAAGCTTCACAAACCCTATCTCTAATTATTCAGAATGGCTGGAGATACAGAAGAGGAATGCTTCAGTGAAGCTCCCTTCTTTGTGGCAGAATCAATCCAATGGAGAAATTTTGAAATTCCAGTTTTATAAAGTTCTTCAAACTTACCTCAAAGATGGCACCAGCTGATGCTGAGCTGCCCTGTCTCTTATGCACCAGTGAATGTGCCCCAAAATCTCTATCTGGGGCTCAGCTTGCCCGCAAGCGATGTTAAGTCCAACCCTCAATTTCTGGCAGGACATGGTGGCTCATGCCTATAATCCCAGCACTTTGGGAGGCCAGGCTGGGAGGATTGCTTGAGACCAGGAGTTTGTGACCAGCCTGAGCGATATGGTGAGACCCTATCTCTACAAATAAATAAATAAATAAATTTAATTAGCCAGGCATGGTGGTATGCACCTGTAGTCCCAGCTACTTAGGAGGCTGAGGTGGGAGGATCGCTTGAGCCCAGGAGTTCGAGGCTGCAGTGAGCCATGATTGTACCACTGTACTCCAGCCAGGGTGGCAAAGCAAGACCCTATCTCAAAAAAAAAAAGAAATAAAAAGGACTCAATATCTAATTACTCACCTTAATGTCACAGTGAAATATTTCTGCATATTTCCTGCAAGGCCTCGTGTAAAAAAAAAAAAATTGGTTTGGTTCAGAGAGTACTATGCTGTTCTAGCTTCACTTTGGATCTATAGTTTTAGAAAATATCCAGTTTTGCTTCTAGTTTAAACTGTTCCATTAAAGAATTAATAGGAAATAAAATCGCTTTGCTACATGGGGAAAGATGAATATTTGGATCCCATTCTATGCTTAACACACTGCTCCAGCTTGGCATATTTTGAAATGGGATAGTTTTTATGGAGGACTCTGGGGCAGATGCTACAGGAGCTTTCTTTGGAATTCTCGTTACCTGTTTCCGTCAGACCACAGGGGATCGATTTTGGAAGGACCGGCAGCCCTGGACCTGCAGGGGCAGACCAGTCACAGAAACCAGAGTGGAGCTGGAGGTCAGTGGGATAGGTTCAGGTCACACCAAGGGCACAGGGACCATGAAGGCAGAACCAGGTAAAGATCAGAGCCAGGAGGGCAAGCAGGGATCAGCGTGTACACAGTCCCAGGGAGCGAGACAAGCAGGGAGGCCCCAGAGTCAGGGAAGCTCAGAAACAAGGATGCTAACAGTGAGACCATGGCTCAGAAACTTCTGGCTCAGGGAGGGCTTCATGGAGGCTGTGCCTGAGCTGAGAGTGTTGGTGGCTGAGCAGCCAATAAGTAGAACACAAATGGGGTTGGGGTAGGGAATTCCAGGCAGGAGGAACAGCGAGAGCAAAAGGCACAGAGGCTGGAGGCTTCGTTGTGCACGGTTCTGTGTGCACACACAGGAGTGTTTCTCAGGCTTGTACAACAGTGCCTTACCTAGCTTCTGAGGTAAGAGCAGGCTGGGTTGAATAAAGTGAAGGGCAGAGGGGGCAGAAACAGGCATTAGAATCCATGGCCATGAACCCAGGATGAGCCAAGGGGTGGAGTAGCAGGGAGGAGCAGGTGAAAGTTGCTCTCGTGCCATTCTTGGCAAAGAGGAAAGCCGGCTGCGCAGGGGGGAGGTGGGGGGAGGGCCACCTAGATTATCTCTTGCCTGCCCCACTGGTGCCCAGGACAGCTGGCAGGGGACTGAACACAGGGCAGTGACGGATGCTTATGCGCCCAGGGAGGGCTTCCCTGGGCTTCCTTCTATTCTCTCCATCTTCACCTACTCATTCCTCACCTCTCCTGACACTCTGTCCTTTGCGGAGGAGCACTGACACCCCTGTGTTCACCTGAACCATACCTGCCCTAAAATGCTGAATCCACCCTAAGTGAGCCCAGTGAGCTCATCCGTCCATCCCTCCCCCATTTAGTGGGGACAGTACCATGCAGCAGGTCAGAGCACAGGTTCTGCAGCTGGAACTCCTGGGTTCTGTTCCTCGCTCACCACGTACTTGCTATGTGACCTTCAGCAAGCTACTTAGCGTCTCCAAGCTCCTGTCCTCATCTATAAAGCGAGGCTGATGCTCGTGCCCATGTGGCAATGTGATGAGCAATGCTAGTACTCATCTCCAAGCGTGGACAGGAGAGACCATGCAATGTGCTTGCAAGGGGGGCTGGCACCTGGGAAAGCTTGTACACGTGGGCTGTTACTGTTACATGTGGGTACCATGTGCTAGGCTAGGCTTGGTGCTCCAGGGCTGTGCAGATGAGTAAGGCACTGCCTCTGCCAAGAAAGGGTTATTTTTTTTTCTTTTGCTGGAAGGGATGCCTGTCTATTGCTCCCACTACAGAAAACCTGCCTGCCCTCTCCTCCTCTACTAAGTTTTGAGAAGCAAGGCCAGCCTGCCCTGAATTGGGGTACTGCCTCCTAAGCCATGGGCCAGTGATTCTGGAGGCTCCCTGCAGAGAATTCTGGGCTCTATTGGTGGAGCGGGGGCCCTCTCTGGCACAGTGAGCTAGGAAAAGCAGGACACCATGAGGTCCTGTGAATTCTAACTACATGGAAATATGGGCTGAGAATTTCTTATTACTGACTTTTGTATAATAATTCAAAAAGCAATACCAAACCCAACTTAAGGCAAAAGGTGTTTCCAGAACCTTCTTGATGCTTCCTAGAGTCAACCCTAACACAAACCTTATGGCGTCACACCCCTCCCCAGCTCACTGAGGCAACTGGAGGAAACCACAGCTGCTTCAGAAAACAGGTGATCCCCAAGGAAACACTGAGAGCTCTTGGGTTGTACCTGGCCTCATGGAATTCCCTCATGGAATTCCAGCCCCGGGGTCCCATGGGGATGTGAGCTGAAGCAATATAGGCTTCCCTGATCCTTCCTTTTGTCAAGGCAAGTAGCCTTCTGCCGCAGAGGTGCCCTCCCAGGCAGGTACAGTGCTGCACATGCTTCTGTCCATGTTCTGTTTCCAGCTCTTCGGGAGCTAGGTAACATTCCTTGGATCTTATTTTTGTGGCTCCCACAGTGCATAGGGACACATACGCAAATCAAGTCCCAGCATCAGCCTGAGAACCTGAAGGTAAATGTGTGACCCAGGGTTTTGCAACCTCGGCACTGCTGGCATTTTGTGCCAGATAATTCTTCACTGCGGGAGACTGCCCTGCACCCAGTGGGATGCTTAGCATCCGGGCCTCGACCCTCTAGATACTCCTTTTGCCAAATACCCACTGGTTGCAAAATTGTGCCAGGTTGAGAACCACTGGTGTAAATTTAACTAAGGTAACTGTGCTATGCTACTCTCAGATCAGAAAAAGATTAAGCTACTGCCCGCAGCATGGGGCTGGTTATGCTCCAGCCAGTTTCTGCTGTCTCATAGGTGTACTTTATTAGAAAGTGCACTCCTGCGTCTTTATCAGGGGATGTCTGCTAAGCGTTATGTCTAGACCCAGCACCATACCAGGCACTGTGGAGGAGCCAGAAGCAACCTCAGATGTGGTCCCTGTTTCTCCGAAGCTCACAGTCATGCTAGGGGACAGAGTGGTAACACCTGAAGCAAGAGCAGTGCTACGGAGCAATGGGTAAAGTTGTGTCACTCATCCGGTGATGACCTACACTGAGGAACCGCACGGCAGGCGAAGGGGAGGGACACAGAGGTGAAGCCCAGTCCAGCTGAGGAGAGAAGGGCAAAGCAGAGAGTGCAGGTGTCAGGAGACAGCAGATGACGCGCTGCAGGCATTCAGACGGTGGGGAGTGGCAGTTGCTCCTGCCCAAGGATAGCCTGGTGGAGCCAAGACTGAGCCGAGCTGGGTGTGGAAGGACAGGTAGGCACCAGCATTCCAGGCAGGGGGACAGGCAGGGCAAAGGCCCAAAGGCTGGACGCTTGGCCTGTGTGAAGAGAACTGTGTGCAGCAACACCAGGAACACTTTTCAGCTTTGCACACAGAGCCAGCGTGTGCCGCAGGGGCCCTGAGATGATCGCGCCGGACCCAGGGAGTCAGGAAAGGCTGGGTAAGGTGCAGGGTGGAGGGGCAGAGGTGACAGGTCTGTCAGAGCCCATGACCTCACCCGGCTGAAGTCCCAGCATCTTGATGAGGGACCCTTTGCCTGCCTCCTGGGCCTGTCACACACCTGTCCAGGTGAGTCACACACCCGCAGCCTCCCTGCTGTGGAAGCTGCTGCCTGGAGCCAGCACCTGTGCCCACCAGCACCCGGCCTCAGTCCCCTTGAAGCCCCAGGCCAGGCCCTCACTCCCCTTCCAGGCATCTTAACACACTGGAGCTCGAGAAGGCTATCCCCACACACCACCGCCACTGCCAAGCTCTCTCCCCTCCTCCTGACCACTCCGCAGGTCAGATAGCCTGTTTGATGCCTCTGAACCAGCCTGTGCAGGGGTAGCATGTACTAATTTAGCCAGCCACTAAACCAATGGGTGAGGTTCAGTATCTCTACCTCCCCATCCTCCCTGTTCCCCACCCCGTCTTCAATAGTAACTGGGGCAGTGGCTTCCCCCGAGAAGTGGCGTGACACTGCCAGCTATCCAGGAGTATCCTACGGGCCTGACTCACAGCTCACAGTGGTGGTGGAGAGAAGGAAGGTGGAGAGATGCCAGGATGTGGCTCTCCTAGCTGCCAGCAGCCTGGGTGCTCCTGTCAGGGGCACTCCATCACCTCTTCCTCCCATGCCCCAGAGGTCTCTGGGAGCCACTGGCATCAATGCCTTCAGGTCCTGTGCAGCAGGAGGGATCCGGCCTCAGCACCGTAGCTGAGGATGGTGGAGGGAAGTTTGGAGCAGGCAGGAAGGGCACGCATGTCAGAAAGGAGCCGCAGGGCCCAGCAGCGCATGGCAGGGGAGAGCCCCTGAGTCAAGGAGACTCAGAAACAAGGATGCCTCACCCTGGGTGGGGTGAGGGTGAATGTGTAGCCATGCTCTGTCTGATGGGCCGGGCTTCTCCCAGGGGGATCACACTCTGGCATGGGCTGGCTACGCCTGCCTCTGGCTGACAGGGACCGTACCCCTCATGCTGTGGGACCTGGAGCTCTGGGAGGGCAGGAGGCGGGTTAGATCACTGGAAAGTACATTTCCCCCTCGTTGGGTCCTCCTTGTCCCTAAACTTTGCGTCCTACACGAGGGGACCAAAGAAGGCTGAAATCCAGCCCATGCAACTCTTGCTGAGCCACGTTTTTCTAATTTGCACCTAAGCACTAGCAGCCATCCAGCTAGAGCCAGCATGTGGTGGAGCCTGGACCCAACCCAAGTCCACTGACATTTCCCCCAGCTTTCCTCAGTGTTTGGGCCCTGCTTCTCAGAGGCTCCTCAAGCAGGAGGACCATCCACAGACGCTCTCTTCAGCCTCCTGCCTCAGCTTACCCTGCATACCACTCAGTACCACACGCAGACCCAGGCCCCTGTCCTGAGGCCCCCTTCAACCACACTCCTCCCCAGGGAGTGGAAAGTCCGTAGGGCAGAGGGAACATCCCCTTGTGGAATCTGCAACTCCCTCCCGCCACTTCCTGACCTCCTCCCAGGGACCCAGGAGAGTGAATCCTCTGTCCAGACAACCTGTGCCTGCAGGCAGCATCTGCAAGCATGTCCTGAGGCTGACTAGACCCCTGGCATATGTGCCCCTAGCCTGCACCACACCCAGCCCTCTCCACACACCTCCCATCCCGCAAGGGGCATCTGACCCTGGGGGAGGGGCACACAGAGCTGGAGGTTTTTCCTGATGCAGCGAAGAGCCTGGGGTAGGAAAGGAAGGGGCAGGGACCTTGCATTTGTGCTCTTGGCCTCAGGCCCCACAAATGATGGGGCTAGGCCTGACACTGTTATTCTGAGACTGGAAACTCTGTGTCCCTGATGCTGGGAGCCTATAGGACACAGTAAAATTGCAATGAGGAGGTGGGTAATGCACTTCATTTGAAAGGAAACCTTGCTCTTGGACCACAGTTCTTTTCCTGTGAAAAGAAATGGCCCCTCTCCCGTATTCCTTAATCCCTGCCCATGCCAGGCTCCCTGCTGAGTCGTGCAGGAGATGGTTGGGCAAGGCCCATGGGCCCATGGATTAGCATTGCCTCTGAAATGCTCTGTCTATCCTGGGCACCGCCCCCGCTCCGCCGCCACCCGCCACCGTATCCCCCCTGCCCACACTCCTTTCCCTGCTGGGTGAGCCCTAGAGTCTCAGTCTCACCCACAGGCTGGGCCTTCCCTAGAATCCAGCCATCCCAGTGACCACGGGTAGCTGCCCTGCTGTGGCCAGGTGGGCGGGCAGTGCCCGGGGGCAGCCTGGGTGGCAGGTGCTCATGAGTCTGGCTGAGCTTCCCCACAGTGGGGCCAATTTCCATCAGTAGTGCTCCCCCTCTCTCCTCTCTTCTCTATTCTCTCTCCTTGTCCCTGTCTGTGAGCTCCGTGGCTGCCTGTAGCCAGCTTCATCCCCCTCTCCGTGCTCCTCCAGGGTGGGGAGAGAGGGAGTCCCAACATGCCTTCTAGGCCTGTTGGCTCCTGCAAGCAGAGTTGGTCGAGCAGGGTCTCAGGAGCCCTCCTGACTGTGCAAGCCAGGTGGGAGTGAGAAGGAAGCAGGGCCCATGTCCTTCTACAGGTCACACTGAATGCACGGCTGGGAAGCCAGCAGCAGCAACAGGGCTGTGAGGTGGGAGAAGCAGTAATGAGAACCCCTGCAGGGCCATGTAGAACAGGAAATGGGCATCAGGGCTGAAAGACAACACAGGAATCACCTTCCCCTGGACCTCTGATTTGCTTTTTCCTGAGCCTTGGTTGTCACAGTCCACGCTGGTCCCTGCATTCCAACTACAAGGGCACTCTCCACTCCCTGAACACAAATGCCCCATGCTTCCTGCAGGCTCCAGGCTTTTCACTTGTTCTCCCCTCTTCCTGGAATGTGCCTCCCTCCTTCACTTAGCAAATGCCTATTCAGTCCTTAAAGATGTTACTTAGGCGTCACCACCTCCAGGAAGCCTTCTCTGACTGCCCACCCTACCAGGAGCCTCCCACCATTTCTAGAGCTTACCCTGTAGTTGCATTTGTAACACAGCATTGCAGTCACTCATCTGTCTTCCCACCATCAATAACTTTGAGAGCAATAGTTGTCTTACTTACGCTACCTGGCATCTGGCATATGGCATGTATTTAATACATATTGGATGGGTACATGCCGTACTGAATTGTCAGCAGACCAAAGAGGGAAGGAGTAAGTGGGGAACTTGGTGCCAGCAGCCAGTGAGGCTGGTACATCCAGGAGGAAGATGGCATGGATGATAGGGGTCCCAGCAGGTATCTCTACCACCCCCACCACTGTGGGGAAACATTTGTCATAGCAGCAACCCGATCCCAGTGGTGACCGTCCTCTCTCTTTGCTGCTAGTATTTCTGCCTGTTGCTCGTCATCTTCCTGGTTGAGCTGGTGGCGGGAGTCCTGGCCCATGTGTATTACCAGAGGGTAAGTGACGTTTCCTCCTCCTGCATCCTCTGTCAGTGTCCTGAAGAAGCAATGTGGGTAGGGAGGTTTGCATTGTGATGAGGGAAGCTGAGGAAGGCACAAGGGCGGTCCTGTTTCCCAGGCCCCGGCAATCCCCCTACATATCTGCATCCCAGCTGCTGGTCCTGGCTCCAGCAATTCTGTGCTGCATCTGTGGATGCTGATGTCTTCCACATGGGAGCTGGGGACGGGGGCTTCCCAAGGGACATTGCGTCATCCCTCTCCCCTTCCAAGAATGGTCTAGAGGATGAATCCATCTGTCAGAGACATCCAAGAAGAAAGGCCTGGGCCAGGGTCACATGCCAGACCCCGAAACAGGATCGGGCCTTGCCTGCCTGGATTAAGCAAGGATGGAGTGAGTCCTAGAGTCAGTCCTATCCACTCCCACCCTTGAGCCCTCTGAATCGGGGATTCGAGGTCATGACCATGGTGATGTTTGGCTGGTAGAGACAGTGCGACCCTGCTGGTTGTTTCAAGCCAGTGCTGCTATGATGCCCACAGGGTAACAATTATAAGTATTTTCAATATCACCTCATGATCACAGTTAAGATCAACAGACATTTCAAAGCACCCTGTGTCTGGCCTCACCACCGCCTCCCACCAGCTTCTGGATGTGACCCTTTACCTGAGCCATCTCCCCAGCCTCTCTCAGCTCTGCCCATCACACCTCTGCCCTAAGTTGGGGCTCAGTTTTTGTGTCTTCCTCTCCATAGCCATCTTCTACACTGTCTCTGGCTGATGGTCCCTTACGCTGTTGAGAAACCTCCGCATCACACCATCCACAGTCCGCAGTGTTCTAGAATTAGCTGGGGGGAGTTGGAAGTGGGCCCGGTGCCAGGGCAGGGGTGGGGCTGGTCCCGCTGATGGGGACTTCGCTCCTACCCTCCTCAGCTGAGTGATGAACTGAAGCAGCACTTGAACCGGACTCTGGCTGAGAACTACGGGCAGCCCGGAGCCACGCAGATCACCGCCTCAGTGGACCGACTCCAGCAGGATGTAAGCCATGCCCCATATGGCCTTGAAGGCCAAGCCCACAAGGATTCAAATCCCGACTGTTCTTTCCTTTCTGGGTGACCCTAGGCAAGTTACTTACCCTCTCTGAGCTTCAAATGTCACATCCTTAAAATGAAGCCTCTTTAGGGCACATGAGCATTAAACCTGGCCACATCTCTAGATGTCCCCACTGCCATGAAAACTACCTGTTGAAGCCTGGTTCCTCTCCTTCCCCGACCACCTCCTCCAGGCCCCACCCCTGCTGCCTTCCCGTTCTGGGGCCTCTGTGGCCAGGAAGCCGGCTGTGCCAGGAGAACTCCATCTCCTGCCAGGATCTGGGCCAGGAAGCTCCTCTCCAGGCTGCTTATATCCGTGGGGCTGCCTTCCTCCTTCCCCGGGGAGCTGGCTGCTGTGACTCCGTAAGAGTGAGCTGTAACCAGCGGAGGTATTTCAGTTAAGCTGCCGCAAGAACCCTCCAGTGTGAGCCATCAGACAGAATGCTGGGGGACAGAAAGGTTTTCTCCTAAGAAGACATGCAGCAAATCCCTCCAGGGACACCCACTGGCCTGACCAGACATAAGGGATGGGCAAATGGACCTCAGAGCTGTCCTGTTCAATACGGTAGTCACCACCCACATGTGGCTATTTTCAGCTCAATTAAATACAACATTCAGTTCCTCAGTTACACCAACCACATTTCTAGTGCTCATTAGCCCGTGTGTCTAGTGAGCTCTGATCAGACAGCACAGATGTAGGATGCTGCCTTCATTGCAGAACGTTCTCCTGGACAGCACTGCTCTAGGATCCGGATGTGTCCGTGTCAGAAAATTCAAGGCAGTGCCACCTGCCCACTCTGGTCCCCTTTCTCTCTGCCACCCCACTCCCCACCCCCACCCCCTGGACCTGGCTTGGTCTTGGCTCCGGAACGTCAGGCAAGTAGAGGTAGTAGATGTGGGGAGCTGTGAGCCCCAGCGGCGTCATGGATCAACTGGAAGGCCCCTCCCCATCTCTCCAAGACTCAGGCCCAGCTCCCAGTGGGTGCTTCAGGGAGTCGTCTCTTCTCTGAAATAGTGGCCCGGGACACGCATGTACACACAAGTGCACACCCACAGACACACTCGCACCCCATGGGCTTAGCTCAGGACCAGGAGGAGGCAGCACACACTGCTGGCCAGCCCTGTGCAAAACTAAGTGTGCACTCCACTCACTGGGCCTCACCTGTGAGGAAATGTGCTAGACAAAGAGGAACAGGACAGGATCCCTGCCCTCGGGGAAGCTGGACACACAGCAGGCGATGTGCATGCAGTGCAAGGCTGGGCCACCCTCAGAAGAGAGAGCAGCGCAGGTTGGGAGGGTTCCATGGGGCAGAGGCGGGGTTTGCTTAAGTGAAGAGGGTGGGAGTGGCAGGTCAGGGCCAGGGGCAGATGAGGAAAGGCACAACTGACAGCGAAGGCTGTGTCACTGACGAAGACCTGCAGGGTGTCTGTGCATGTGGACACGGCCCTCACACAGGCCAGAAACACTTAGAACCCCAGGCCACATCTCAGGCAGGAGACAGCCCTGAGAAAGCAGTGGCTGCAGAGCCAGGGCCAGCACCCGGCCCTCCAGCAGCAGCACGTGGATGTAAATGACAGAGACACACAAAGCTGTATTCACACAAGCGTGATGGTGGAAGCAGGTGTCTCTCCTTCACCACTGATGGCGCCGGGCTCTCTTCTAAGTGCTTTATATGAATCACCTCTTTCAGTCCTTACAACAGCATGGCATGGAGGTACTTTTGTTGTCTGCATTTTACAAATGACACAGCCATCAGGTGGCACCAGCACAGACCAGCAGAGTCACGTGGAATGTGCAGTTCCCGCGTGACTCCTTCTGCGCGCTGTGCCAGTCCCTGCTCTGTGTGCTGTCATGCTCTCCTCGACTCCGGGGGCCCCTGTTCATCCCTGTGGATTGTTCCTGGCCCTGGACAGAGCATTAACCCCTTCCTCCTCTGTGCCACACACAAGCTTCTGTCATCTTCTACCACGCGACAGTGGATGCTAAGCTACCCAAGGGTAGGCCCCATGCCTTACTCAAGTTTCTTCGCTCCAGGCACATAGTAGCTGCCTAGCAAACTCTTGTTAGCTGAACTAAACATACCTCCACCCCACCCACCTCCAGACATACACCAGCGACAGCCTCACAGCAGCCCTGTTCTCTCTCCTGTGTAGGAACTTTGAATCTCAGTGCCGCAACTGGGAAAGGCAAGAAGCAACCCATGTCCACTGTCTTGGAATCATTTTATATCTGGGCTGGTGCTTCCCTGCCCTGGGGTGGTACAGATGACCCCAGGTCTTAGCACTCATGACAGCCCCTCTGGTTGACACTGGTCTCCCAGTGCCATGGGCGGGTCTGGGGCTCTGAGACTTCAAAGCCTGAATGGGGGCCTGGGAGCCTCTGACCAGGCTAGATCTCTGTCCCCACGTCCTGACCCCTGGGTGACCAGGAAACTCCCCTGCCTTGTGGTTTTGTCCACCCTGGGCTCTGCCACCCAGTGGTACACAGCCTCACTCTCTGGGGACCCACCTCGCAGACCCGTCCTGCCCCCAAGACACCCAGCATAATCTCCTTAAAGGACTTGGGTGGCTAAAAAGCTGGCAAGCAGGTATCCTGCAGGCCATTCAGCAATGAGTCTGAGAAGGGCCCTGGCGTGACCAGCTCTCTGCTCAAAGCATGGGAAGGGAAAACACATTATACAAATACTAACTAACCATGGTTCGGGTAGACAAATAGGGGTTGGGTTAGTATTTGAATAATGTGTCCTGCAGCCTGGGACCCTACGCAGGCCTCTCACCTCCAGCCTCTGCCTCTGCCTCTGCCTCCAGTTCAAGTGCTGTGGAAGCAACAGCTCAGCCGACTGGCAGCACAGCACGTACATCCTGTTGCGGGAGGCCGAGGGCCGCCAGGTGCCCGACAGCTGCTGCAAGACAGTGGTGGTGCGCTGCGGCCAGCGGGCCCACCCCTCCAACATCTATAAGGTGGAGGTGAGCACCCAAGCTCAAGTTGGGGGTGAGGAGAGGGCCCTGGCCTGGCCGTTCAGGAGCCCCAGAAAGGCTGGGTCAGGCAGGTGGGTGTGGGAAAAGCAGGACACATGTGCTCCTTGGCCACGAGCCCACAGTGTCTGGGGCTTTCCAGAGTCTCTACAAAGCCCTGGGACAAGCAGCTCATACCGGAGAGTATAGGACACCATGGCATGCCCCTGGGGCCACTCAAGTAGCCTGTGAGCAATTCAAGGTTGGGTCCAGCCTGTGAGTCCTCTGGCCAGTCCTCAGCCTCTGCTGCAGTGACAGCCCGCCCTCCGTCCCCACCCATGCCTGCTCCTGGGCCATGGCCGCATCACCTGCCCTTCTCTTACAGGGAGGCTGCCTCACCAAGCTGGAGCAGTTCCTGGCCGACCACCTGCTGCTTATGGGGGCAGTGGGCATCGGGGTGGCCTGCCTGCAGGTGAGTTGCAGTGCGGGGACTGGTGGGGGTGGAAGGGCTCTGAACCCCTCTCCCATTGACACAGGTCTTCAGTAACCACCTGGGCTGAAATAACTGACCCTTTGCACACCCGCACCCTACCCTGCTCTCTTCTTCTCTCCCCTTCCCTCTGCAACCAAGGCTGAATCCCACGGTCAGTCTCTCCCCCAGAGAACATGAAGGAAAATAGCTGGGGACAACATGAACTTGTCAGGAACAGGGACCTGGGCGGAGTGTGAGTGTGGGCTCAGGTATGTGCATGCACCCCATGTGTGTGCACGTGGGGGTGAGCGTGCAAGCCATCTGTGGTACGTGTGTCTGCATGCTTCTGGGTCCATGTGGTTGGGGTTGTATGCACGTATATGTGTTTAGGGGTGCTTGTGCATGTGTGTGTGAGTGTGCACGTATCTGCATTCATTCCTTTGTGTGTGCATGTGTGTTTGTGTGTGTGTATAGTCAGTCCTCCATGTCCGTGGGTTCTGCATCCGTGAATTCAACCAACTGTAGATGAAAAATATTCCAAAAAATGGATGATTGCATCTGTACTGAACAACCTTGTCATCATTCCCTGGGTAATGCGATATATCGACTGTTTACGTAGCATTTACACTGTATGAGGTAGTATAAGTAGTCTAGAGATGAGTTAAGGTATTATATAGGGGAGAATGTGCATAGGTTATATGCAAATATTGCACCATTTTATATCAGGAATTGAGCATCCATGGATTTTGGTGTCCAGGGCAGTGACTGTGTGTGTGTGTGCCCTCATCCAGCTGTCTCCCTGAGGATGAGCAATGCCTTTAGCTCCCATTTCTCCCTGTACCCTCTCCCCTAGCTGCCACCCAGGAAGTCAGGGTGACACTCTTGGGTTACTCTAGTCAAGGGTCCGAAGGAGGGGAGCCAGGAAGGCCTCCTCAGCGGCAAGGGCCCCTGCAGTCCCCAGCTCACGAACACGCCTGCTTCCGCTCAGCAGGAGCTGAGTGTGGGCTGTCCTTCTAGGAGTCTTGCTGTCCTGCACAGCCCTTCCCACTCCAGGGCTAAGCACCATCTAGAGAAGGGGAGGAGCAGAGGCTTTGGCCTCAGAAGGCCCAGTTCCAGTCCTGGCTTTGCTCCTAGGTAACCTTGAGCTACCTAACTTCCCTGTCCATTGACTTCTTCATCTGCAAAATGTGGACCATTTCCCCAGCTCTTAAGGTCTAAGAATGAGGCGATGCCTGCAACCCACTTACGAAGTACCTGGCACATAGGAAGGCCTCCAGAATTGGAAGCTGTCTTTCTCCAGTTTTCTGTAGACTTCAGAGGATTTCTGATGCTTCCTCTCATTGGGTCCACACAACAACCTGAGACCCAGGCCAGACAAGGAGTAGTGTTCTTCGCTTTTTGCTTTTTTTTTTTTTTTTTTTTTTTTGCGCGACAGTCTCACTCTGTTGCCCAGGCTGGAGTGCAGTGGTGCCACCTCAGCTCACTGCAACCTCCGCCTCCCAGGTTCAAGCAATTCTCCTGCCTCAGCCTCCCAAGTAGCTGGGATTACAGGTGCCCACCACCACGCCGCCTAGTTTTGTATTTTTAGTAGAGGCTGAGGTTTCACCATGTTGTCCAGGCTGGTCTCGAACTCTTGACCTCAGGTGATCTGCCCACCCCAGTCTCCCAAAGTGCTGGAATTATAGGCATGAGCCATGGCACCCAGCTGTTCTCCACATTTTACAGATCAGAAAGTTGAGACCCAGAGAGGTGACTTACCCAGGGCCTCACACCCTGAACCAGCACCCAGGTCTCCTGGCTTTGGTTCTTTGCTTTCCCGAACTCCCTACCATGACACACAGATCTGTGGGAAAGAGAAGCAGGGGACAGTGGCCTTGGCTGGCTTGGAGATACTTCCAGTGCAGGGTCCTTGGAAACCATGGTGCCACCTACCCACATCATCTGTGGGCCTGGAAGGTCTAGCTGCAGCCTAACACACTGGGAGGAGGGTCCGTCGCCTCTGGAGGGACCCCCATCTTGGTTCTGCCATCTACAGCTGTGGACCTAGGGCCAGTTCTTTCATCTCTGAGTCTCAGTTACTCATTTGTAAAATGGGGCTAGTTATACCTTATCTGCTTGCCTGGTGGTGGGAATTAGCAATATCCATGTAAGTCACTTGGCTCATGGCTGAGCAGATAGCAGGTGTTCAATAAATGATACCCATCATTTTTATGATTTCTGCATTAGTACGTTGTCTCTCAAAAAAAAAGCTCTAGCTGTTCCTTGGCCAGACCAGCCTGCTCCCCATCATTCTCACTCAGCTGCAGGGCCAGGGAGCCCAGGTGGCATGAGCATTGCCCCTCTATTGCACTTCCCCAGGGCAGGCCTTCTGTCCTGTGTGCTGAACCCCAGAGGAGTAGTCAGTGGGAACAGGAGAAGGTACGCTCAGCAGCACAGAGCAGTTGAACTCTCCAGAAACCTGTTACTCCAGGTGTTGAGGGGGCCTGCTCTGTATGGACACAGACCAGGCCTGGGCCACTCTGTCCATTTCTTCTTCACCTCTCTGGCCTTGAGAGCCTGTAGAAGCTGCAGACGAGGGCAGTGAGGCTGAGGGCAGGGAGCAGGACTGCGGATGCCCAGAGCCGACGGTCAAGGTAAACCGCACAGCTGCATAAGTCTGATATTGAAGAGGTCAGGTTGTTGAGCAGTGCACCTGCAGGCCTGCCACTCCTCCTGCCCACTCAAAACCCCCACCATGCAGTCTGTTCCTTCGCCGTTGCTATGGAATGGCTTTTGGTGGCTCTCAACCTCTTGCCCAGTTTTCTCTGCTGTGGCCCACTGAGCCAGCCCAGGAGCGGCCAAGCCTCGGGTTAGGGCTCCCTCTGCCAGCTGACGCTGGGCACTACACTGCTCAAGTCCCAGGTGGGTCCTAAGCTTTGAGAAAGGGCTCATACCAGTCTCTTCCCCAGGGTCATAGTTTACCTCCTAGAGAGCAGACACCAGGCATTTATCTCCCCTACATACCCAGCCTGGCACTTCCAAGACCCCCAAGGCTCAGGAAATATCAGTCCAACATGGTGTCATAATGTTCCCCAGCCCCCAGCTACTGCAAGAAATCTTGCTTGGGAGTTACAGGGCCTGATTTCTAAACATAGCCCCACCTCTTGCTGTGTTACCTCAGGGAAATCTCATTCCGTCTCTGAGCCCTTAGTGTCCTTACCTGTAAAATGGACAGATTGGATATTTGTGAGCCTTTTTTAAGTAGCAGCATCCTCTTTTCAATGGAAATATCACGTAGGAGCCCAGTACATAAACCATAGGAGGTGGAGCTGTTTCAGGCAGGGACAAGCCTAGCATGACGGCCTCCCCTCACTGCCCTTGGTGGCCCTGAGCTACACTAAGGGTTTCCAATACAGCTTGAAAGCTGTGGGTCTAGCCCATTTCTATGGAACCTTCTGGATCTGGTGTTCTATGATTTTTCAGTAAGGTTCCCATCGCAGGAACCAGTGACCTTGAGACTGATGTCCTGCAACACCTGGAGTGTTAAAGCAGATGGTTTGTGAACACTGAAAACTAAGCAGAATATTTAATGAAGGGAGCACACCTTGATTTCAGCCAGGTATTTGGCAATGCATTCCTTGTTACCTTGTGGACGTGTGGACCAGGCACTTGTATGCTCAGGAGAAATCAGGGCAGGCTGGATGGCCACGCTGTGAGAGAGAGATGAGAGTTCACATCAGCTTAGCGAAAAGTCTCCAGGAGCGGGCCGTGGCCTTCAGCCTCAGACCTGTCTCTTCATTTTTCTTGGTGATCTCAACGAAGACCCAGGAAGCATGCTAAACTATTTACCTAGCATTTCTGGTCTGTTGTATGATAAAGCCAGCATTGAAAAAAGAGCTCGTTGGATATGAAGATGTGCTGAAACGAAGGGTAAAACCTTTAATAGAGTTAAAGTCCTTGCACTTGAGCTTTGTTTTGTTTTGCACTTAAGCCTGTAACAGAGAGAGGGCATCTGCCTGAGTTACATGATAGGGTGCTGCCCACAAAGATGTGGCCTGGAACTGCACTGGTAGAAATCATGGAGAGAGTCAGGGTGTGGGAGGTGCCAGCTCAGGCCACCCTCCAGGTGGGACCAGACCTCCGCAGAGCCCCAGGGCAGTGGTCCTCAACCTTGGCTGCACAGTGGGATCACCTGACAAGCTTTAAAACTACCCCAGGCCTGTAATCCCAGCACTTTGGGAGGCCGAGTCAGGTGGATCATGAACTTAAGAGATCAAGACCATTCTGGCCAACATGGTGAAACCCCGTCTCTACTAAAAATACAAAAATTAGCTGGGCATGGAGGCGCGCGCCTGTAATCCCAGCTACTCAGAAGGCTAAGGCGGGAGAAACGCTTGAACCCAGGAGGCGGAGGTTGCAGTGAGCCTAGATCATGCCACTGCACTCCAGGGCGACAGAGTGAGACTCCGTCTCAAAGAAAAAAAAAATACCCCAGGCCTGGGCTCCCCGCAGCAAAATGAAACAAAATGGTCTGGGGCTGGCACCTGGGCATCAGTGTATTCGTGAAGCTCTCTAGTGATGCCACTATGCGGCCAGATGCAGAGGGAGTGGCAAGGGGAGTGTGGGGCCCAGAAGTCAGATGTGAGAGAGGTCAGGAGATGGGGAGCAGATGCAGCACCCTCGTGGTCTTGAAATGCCCAAGGCAGTCATGTGGGGAAAGGAGGGACTGTTCCTGGGAGGTTCCAGAGGACAGAAGGGGAACAGTAGGTGGAATTATTTTCAGGAGACACATTCAAGAACTTTTTAACAATTTGAATTGCTAAACAGTGGCCCTTGCAGAGTACTAAACTCCCTGCGGCTGCAGGCTGGGGCAGAGGCTGGGGGCCGGCAGGGATGCTGAAGGGAGAATCCCCTGCACTTGATCGGCAGAGGCCCCTCCATGCTGAAGTTCTGCATTCCGGGAGTGCACCTATCCCCTCAGCAGGGGCCCCCCAGGCTTCTCACCCACCTCAGTCATGGAACAGCACACCAGAGGCAGTTTCAGACCTGGACAGGATCATCACAGTGCTGAGGTACCACCCGATCAGACTCTTCCACCTGGAAAGGCCTTACAGACTACCTGGACCAGAGCCACCGGCCCTGGCTGCATGCTAGAGTAGAGTTGTTTAAATACCATTGTGGCCAGGTGCAGTGGCTCACGCCTGTAATCCCAGCACTTGGGAGGCGGAGGCAGGGGGATCACAAGGTCAGGAGATTGAGTCCAGCCTGGCTAACAAGGTGAAACCCTGTCTGTACTAAAAATACAAAAAATTAGCTGGGCGTGGTGGTACGCGCCTGTAATCCCAGCTACTCGGGAGGCTGAGGCAGGAGAATTGCTTGAACCCGGGAGGTGGAGGTTACAGTGAGCCAAGATTGTGCCACTACACTTCAACCCTGGGCGACAAAGCAAGACTCCATCTAAAAAACAAAACAAAAAAAAAACCACACACACATTGCTCTGGCACCCCCTCCACAGACTGGCTTGGATTGTCTGGAGTGGGCTGAGGTCTGTGCACGGGTATTTTTAAGCCTCCCAGCTGGGTCAAACATACATTCGGGGTTCAGAGTCCCCGGGCTCATCTTATTCATGCACATCTGAAGACATCAAGCCTCACCAGAAAGTCACCTGCTGAAGGTGACACAGCCGCTGTGGCAGAGCTGGCCAGGCCTCCAGCTCACAGGCCTGCTTCCTCTGCACCAGCTTCCCCTCTTGTGGGTGGAATCTGGAGGCACTCCACTTTGAGGTAACTTTAGAAGCTAATTTCTAGAATATTCTGGCTGGGGAACATTTCACTAAAAATGTCACAGTAGCCCAGCCCTTTTCCTGCAGCCCTCCTCACATCAGCGTCCTGGGAGCCTCCGCCCAGGGGGCCGGCAGAGGAGGCTGTGTTTACTTTGGAACAGAGCTGCTGTGTGCCAGGTGCTGTGCCCAGTGCCAGGGCCACATTGCAGGCAGAGTGCCGTCCCTTCTCCCAGGGAGATTTTACTTGAAGGAAGGGGACAGGTAAGTGTATGGCAGTCACAGTGCAGTGCTAGGTGCTGTGTTAGCAGGAGTCCTTGGGTTTAAGAAGCAAACATCAGTGGCCCTAACCAGTCACGGGAGGTCAGGGAAGGCTTCCTGGAGGAAGTGATATCTCATTAAGTCCTGAAGGAGCCCGATAGGCAATGACAGAGGGGAAAGAGCCAGGGTGAGGGAATAGCGTGTGCAAAGCCCTGGCTTGCAGGTGGGGAGCGGGGGTCTTTATCCTGCCTGGCCTCTCAAAGGATTGGGGTGTTGGAAGGACTGGGTGCTGTGCTGTTGGTTCTTGTTATTCTAGTTTTTAAAGAATCTTGCCAAGGAAGACCCTAGACCAGTGTACAGACCGGATGTTTTCCTATTGGCAGAGGGGGATTTGAGGCTCAGAGAGGGAGGTAACTTTACCCAAGATCACACAGGCCACTGGTGCAGCCTCAAGTAGAACCTAGCCCACCTCCAACATGCTCAGCTTGCAAGATGGTAACATGTCTCAGAACATGGAAAACACAAGACAGTCAAGACTGGGATCTGCAGGTCATTAAAAGGGAAACCAATCATTTTGGAATGACTTCTCAGAAGCTCTGTGGCCCTTCCTTCATGCTCTCTGCTGACAGCCAGGTGCTGACTCAGAAGCCTCAGAGGAAGCTGAAGGCAGGACGGCCTCCCTGTTAAAAATGTCCCATGTGTGGCCAAGTGTCACACACAGGCAGCTGCCAGAAGATAGCACCAGGCACCATGTGGCTGGGCCTCCAAGCCGGGCCCAACCCCATCTGCCACCTCCAGCACCTGCGGTTAGCTGGCCTTGTGTTGTCTCTGTGTGCCCCCTGTTGGCTGCTGGAGCCATCCGTGCTGGTTTCTCAGTGTCCTCTGTCAGGAGGGAGATGGCAATGCCTATTCAGGAACCAGACTGGGTGGCATCCTGTACCCTCCACATGCTTCAGCGTGGTGTTCACGTGTGTGTGTGTGTGCAAGTGTGTGTGTGTGCATGTGGACGCAGTGATGAGGGTCTGGCCCACACACCTCTGCCCCTTACTGTGCCTGTCCTGGGAGGCTCGCTGGGAACACCCAGCTCACGCAGGAGCCTGTCTGCTGGGGAGTGTGGCCCCTCCAGTCCTCCCCCAGCAGGAGACGTACATTGCAGGCGATGCAGACATGGTTTCCAGCACAAACCTGTGCCGGTCAAACAGCTCCCTTCTGGCCTCCCTCTTAGCACAGATAAGATCCAGAAAATCCCACAGGAAAATCATCAAACCATGAGGTAGGGAAACCTGCATGGGTGGAACGGCATGACGGCCGCCTGCGTAAAGCTAGCGGGAGATGAGATAACCTCCTAAGCCGCCTTTCAGCCTGAGGCCCCAGGTGGATTAACACCAAGTCTGCAGGCTGAAAGCAGTGTTCACACTCCACGCTGTCCTCCAGGTTGGGAGGGATGGAGAGGAGGAAGGAGGGGAAGAGGATGGGCCCCTTCCACACTACCTCCCCCAGCTAGCTGTCAGAGACAGTACAGGACACACGCATCTCCACCAGCCTGCTCTCCTCCCACTGGATAGAGCTCCACCTGCATCCAGGTTTGCACCGGCAAGGTCAGGGCAGCAGCAGCTGCTAGGAAAGTCAGGACACTGTTTCAATACTTAGGAGAGCCACCTTCACCCCAGGTATCACGGGACAGTCATGGGGCTGCTTTAGCCCAGTGCCCCCTCCTGTGTGCAGAGAGCCAAGATCCAACAACATGTCATCATCATTATCAGGATCATAATCACATTACCCTCAATGCATCCTTGGGTGGGAGGGAGGAGAGGAAGAGGAGGAAGAAGGCAGAGGAGGGCCCATGAAGAGCAAGGAGGGAGAATAAAGCTCCTCTGCATTCTGGAAGTGGGAGAAGTGAGAAGGCGGTGTGCAGGGTGATCCTCCCAGGCCTGTGTCTGCTTTGGACCAGATGCTCCAGCCCCTTGTTCAGCTGTGGATACCGACAGAAGGGCTGGCAGACAGGACGCCTGGGGCCTGAGCTTGGTGCTGCATTCTACACTGATTGACAGGGTGAGCTCACCAGCTCTTATTCTATGCTGACTGACAGGGTGACAGCTCAGGAGGCTCTTCCCAGAGTCTCAGTTTCCCCCATGGCTCCTGTACACCAGCCAGAGCATCGAAGATGGACCTGAGTTTTGCTCTAGAGTCTAAGGACAGCAAAACACAGGCAGACTCTTTCCTAGAGAGACAGTCCACTTCAGACAGCTCTGATGAGGGAGTGGAAACATTACTCTTAGGGCCTAATTAAATCAGGCCATCTCTGGAGAAGATCTAGGACCACAGACCAGCAGCATCAACTGGGAGCTTGCTAGGAATGCAGACTCTCAGGCCGCCACTAGGCCTGAAGAATTGTAATAAGGAGGTCCCCAGATGATTCATGCCCATTAAAGTGTGCAAAGCCCTGCTCTTGGATAGTAGATGGCAGAATGTGGTTCCCCCAGGCACACCACCATCACCTGGGAGCTTGTCAGAAATGCAGAACCTCAGGTCCCACCCTGACATTTTGAGCAGTTTTGAGCAGGAATCTGCCCTTTGCCCAGGCCCCAGGGTATTCGAGTGAGCAGCACTGCTCCAGGGCCCTGAGGGCCGGCAGCTTCCAGGAGTTCTGATTTCTCTTTGCTCCTCTGCTCTCTCCACCTGGCAGATCTGCGGGATGGTTCTCACCTGCTGCTTGCACCAGAGGCTCCAGCGGCATTTTTACTAATGGCCAACCACCTCCTCTTCCAACTGCCCCTCAAGACAACATGTGGCCACATGCCATCTGCAAGGCCTGCAGAGTTAGCACCAGCTCCACTAGGGCCATAGATGCCCCCTCCTTTGTGCCTAGCTCCTGCGAATCCACCGAGTGCCTGAGACCATAGCTTCTGTGCCCACCCAGGCAGAGACCCTCGGCCCCCTCTCCTCCATTTCTGAGCCCCCATGGCCAGATCCTGGGCAGGGAAATGATCCTTTCAGGAGACAACCAGAGCCCCTCACCAGGAACGGGGGCACCCGTGGACTACGGGAGGGTGGCGGTTGGGTTCTCTGCTCCCTCCCAGCTCCTGAACCTGGAACAATCGGCAGAAAACCCAGGAACCCCGGCACTCCTGCATTCAGCACGGGATTCCCCCACCCATGCCCAGAAGCCCTGACCTTGCTGTTTCTGGAAAAAGCATGGGGTGGGGCAGGGAGGGCTGGCATTTCCCCCAGAAGACCTTGCCCTTTGACCTGCCCACTCTCCACACTGCCTCACCTGGAAAGCCATGTCCTGCTGGCCTCATTCCTTCCTGAAGGGCCTAGGAGTGGGGAGGCCTGGGTAGGGCAGCCACAGGCTGGGTAGAGCCGCCCTGGCAGGAAGCAGGGGGTAAGGTGGCCATACCAGCACATGCTGCACTAGGAGCAGAGCCCTGCACCTGCCTAGCTGCCTTCCTGGGAGAAACCTCCCTGGGAGACCATGGCCCCAAGCCCTGGCCTCTAGTGATACGCCCCTCGGGAATCTCCTGTTCCGGGGCCTGATTCTCAGGAACACCAGGTTTCAGACCATCTTCAGCACCTAATGTTGATGGGTGTCAAACATCTCCTGGAGTGGACCAACTCGCAACCCTGCAAAGTCGGAGCTGCTGAGAAGGGGCAGCTCTGAATAGAGGGGCATCTGCCTGAACCTCACTTTTCCTGGGGCCCTCTCCTTGACCCCGTAGCCACCACCACACTGCTTCCAGGGGGTCCAGCTCTGCTTCCCTTCCCACCTGTCCTAGAGTGGACAGAGCTTTTTCCTTGGGTTCTCTCTTGCATCACTAAGTTCAGCAGGGAATTTGCGGAATTTTCAGGAAGAACTTTCCCCAGTAATAAGGGAGAACAGAAAGAAAATCCTAGAAAATACAGAGTATCCATGCTGGCAGCTTTTTGTACAACACCCATAGGGACCCCCCCAAATGGCTATTACAAAGGGGCAGCCCATTCACTACACAAGAACCCCACACCTGGCTTCCACCCTCCCCAGCTCCTGCACTTCTCCCCAGAGCGGGACCCTCTTACTTCCCCCCATGAAGGGGGGCACCTTGTGCTAAGGCCAAGGCTGAGCGAGGTCCCAGCTCACCTCCCTGCTTGATCCAGATTGCACTGTGATGAGCACATTGCTGACCTAGGCCAGTCCTGGGGCAGGCGTGCTCTCTCTCCCATACATAGGAGTGGCCTCAAGGCCACCCAGTGCTGACCCCAACAGAGCCCTGAACTGTCCAGAAACTGCATCCTCAGCACAGGAAGTACCCACATGGACAGAGGGAAGCCCAGCCTCGGGGCCGGTTGCCTCCTCTTCTCTGGGTGTTCTCCAGTGGCTTCTTGGAGCCTAGGCTGGTTTATCTCCCCTGCCTAAAAGGCCCTGGGGTTGCCAATGCAAATTCATTAAAACGAAGACCAGATATCCCAGACTGCACAGAGGCCGAGAGAAATGGTATAGTGCGTGATTAGCATTGCTGCCCTCCAACCTCCTGGGATTCATGCAGATAATCAAAAACTGACTATGACTCCCAAGTTCTCTGAAGGATGAGATCACAACTGACAACTCTTACGACAGAGGGAGAGTGGTGAGAGAGAGAAAGAGGGTACTGGGCTAGAGCCATGTTCTTCCTGCCGAGGTGCCAGGGGGAGGCGGCAGTGGGCAGGGGGTGCTGGGGCCTTACCTGTCTGCCCTGGTGGGGATGAAAGACAGGTGACAGGCAGGTGCCCTGTGCACAGCCTTATCATTGAAGGCAGGCCCAGGACAGCCTGCCCCATCTGCCCCAGCCCCATGGGATGGTTGGTCCAGCCTGACTGGGGCAGGATTAGCTGCAATTCCTGCCCTGTGTGTCGTCCAGCCAGACTGCCTCTTGAAAGATGGCTTGTCCAAGCGGCAGACAGTGGTAGAACAACCCAGGGCTTGGAAATCTGACCTCCTTGTCCATGCCAACAGCCTGGGAGATGAGACAGGGTTAGAGGAAACAGAGGCCCAGGATACGGCAGGTTCTGCCTGGGAGTGTACAATGGTTGGAGTCCAGAGCCAACGATGTGGTCCCCAGCGGGGTGTGCCCCTCCTGCTGACGAGGGTACAGATCCATACCCAGGTCAATTCCTCCCGGGCCCCTGTTTGGAGGCTGCTACAGCCTTGAGTTCCTTGGAGAGAGAGGACACGCCTGTGGAATGTCACCTTCAGTCCCGTGCAGGCAAAAGGCCCCTGCACACCAGGGCCCTAGGAAAGCAGCATCAGGTGCTGGGATCCCACCCAGCTGGCACGGGCACGTTCTTGCCCTGCACACTCCATGCTGCCCTTCCCTGAGCTCGCAGGGGCAGACACCAAGAGAAGGGCGCGTCCCCGAGTCCCCTGGGTGACCTGTGTCAGGACAGCAGGCAAGAATGAAACGTGGCCTTGGCTGACGGGTTGGAATATTTGTGACCGTTCTTGTCTTTCTCCCTCCTGCTTCCCCGGCACCCTAGCCCCATCTCCAGGAGCCCCTCAGGCAGAGTAAGTGGGGAGTGTGTCCAGGGATTTTTTTGTGTTTACCAAGGTCCTGCTGTGCACTTAGAATCTGTCACCATAAATACTTATCTCGCAGTTACCCCAGCAAGAGGGTGTTATTTCCCCCATTTTATAAAAGGAAATTAAGGCTGGGCAAAGTTAAGACTTGCTTGTCAGTGGTCATGGCTGTTGTCTTGCCACCCCCAGCTGGGGAGAAGGAAGAAAACTGGGCCGGGAACCCCTCCCCTCAGTGTCCCCCAGTTCTCCATCTCCATAAGGAGCCATCAGGCTGTCATTAAGGAACAGAGTGTCACTCAGGGGGCACTGTCACAAAGCAGCACCCATGGCACATGGGCCGGGGGTGCAGAAGCCTGGCTTATTTCAGGCTGACAGCTGGACCCTCTGGGTGCAGGGGCTCAGGCAGTGGCCAAGAGCCCAAAGGGCTAAGGCCCGTGACGACCACCCAGCCCGTCACCCCAGGTACAAACACTGACCCCAAAGCAAGAGCAGGGACTGTCCCTCAGCCCTCAGGGCCTTCATGCAGGGTGCAGAATCTCATGTCCACATGGAGGTCACCCCTCAGGTCACACCCACTCCCAGAGCAACCCTGGGCAGGGAGGGGCACCCTGGGGTTGTGTTGACCACCTCCCCTTCAGGTGAGGCCCTTTTCTGCCTTCTTTCTAGCCCCCTGCATGGGGCACCTGCTATTGCTGGGGCTCTGGGGTGGACCCTGTGTGATTTCTGTCAGGGAGCTTGTGCTGTGCATGGCCAGAGGTGTTTACATCCAGAAGGGCCCAGCACGGCCCTGTGGGGTGTGGGGGGAATATGGTAGATCATTGTGATGTGCCTCGGGGCCCTCTTGCCTTGGAGCCAGCTTTGTTTCAGAATCTGCTACTTGGGCCCTCTTCAGGGTTTTGAGGCTGGAGAAGTGAGTTGGGACAGTCACTGTCATCACCACCCACCCTGTCACCCACCTGGAAAACATTCTTGATATACTGGCCATGCTGGGCCGGGCTCACATCCACTGAGGGTATAGTGACCAAGCGTCTAAACCAGTCGTTCTCAAACTTCGGTGAGTATCAGAATCACCTGGAAGGGCTTTTACAAACAGATTGCTGGCCCCACCCCCCAGAATTTCTCATCAGGAGTGGGCAAGACCAATCATTTGCATTTCTGACAAGTTCCCAGGAGCTGCAGCTGCTGGCCCTGGAACCACACTTTGAGAACCACTGCTTTAGACCAAACACCAAAGGAAGATGCAGCCACCCTCCTTTACATGTCACAACGCTCAGGGTCCATGAGTACCTCAGGCTGTCCAGCTGAGCTCCACCTGCAGCAGCCGAGATTCCCGACTCGCTCCACCATTGGGGGCTAGGAGTGAAGCGTGTCACCATGGTCAGCTCATGGCCAGCCAGGAAAGCCTCTCTGCTGTGCGTCTGTGCAGTTCTTGTTCTTCCCTGGAGGACTCTTGGATCGCCTGTGATCTTGGCCAGGAGACCAGGTGCCTGGGTCCCTTCCTGGAAGGGGACAAGTTACACACCCCAGCCCCATTTTCCCACCAACTTCTACATGCCTTGGGAGAACCTGCTACATGTTGGCTGCCCCCTTCCCCTATTTCAGCAGTGCCCAGTCCTGCTTATAAACCTGAGGCCTGCTCCCCATACCCTGCCCTGTGCAAGTGCCAGCCGTTATTCCAGGCAGCCCAATGTTGTTGAGGCCAGATGGATTCCTGGAAGCAGCTGGCCCATGGATGTGAGTCATCACAGTATTCTAGAAACAGAGAAGAGGTCTTAACCTAATGCGCATAGAGAAATTGTTCTCATTGTAAACATACCCCTGTCCTTAGCTGATCTAGGTGGAAGCCCAGCTTCATGTGCTAGGGGGCATGATAATGATAATAAAGGAATTGTATCTAGGACTACCTTCTGTTGAATTTTTTTCTCCTCTGCAAGGAACCCCCAGGCCATCAGTTCATTAAATGTACCATGACCCACGGCTACATCGTGAAGCTGCTGTGTTAGCCACGGCTCCCCTATGAGTAAACCATTGGCCACATTGGATAGGGTCCTGCTTACCCTTTTTTTGTCAGCCCTCATCACTGATGTGTTTGAACTGACTTCTCCTGCTCACAAGTGTCATTAGCTCCTGGCTGCAAAGGACAGCCAGGCTCAAACACATGTACTTAAATTGTATTCCTCTTCAGGCTTCCTCCCTTCAGTCAGTCCATGTTTTCCTACCATTTACCATGACACACAACCAGCATCTGTTCATGAACCTGCAGTGAGCTCTTACCACTGCAGGCGCCACCCTCTGCTTGGCTGCAGCAGATGCAGAGTGTGGCGAAAAGTCAGGAGCAAGGGGGCTCTGTCTGTTGAGACACACACTCCTACTGCAAGCCTCACCCCCAGACCAACTCACTCTACTGTGACAGGGTTTCTCCACCGTGGACCAGCTGATTTGTCCTCATCCCCAAACCTGGAGTTGGACATGTTTTCATTGCAAATGCAGAAAGATAAATCTTTGCTGAGGGGACCAGTAGTTGCCCAGTCCAGAGCTAAAAGGAAGTACATGTTTTTGTCTTCTATAATATAAAACGGTCATATTATTTCATTCACTGTTCTGTCTAGAAAACTTGCTTGAGAGGTGGTGTATTCATTTGTATTCACACTGCTAAAAAGAACTACCTGAGAGTGGGTAATTTATAAAGAGAAGAGGTTTAATTGACTCACAGTTTCACAGGCTTAACAGGAAGCATGGCTGGGAGGCCTCAGGAAACTTATAATCATGGCAGAAGGCAAAGGCGAAGGGGAAGCAGGCAACTTCTTCACATGGCGGCAGGAGAGAGAGAGTGAGGGGATAGGTGCCACACACTTTTAAATAACCAGATCTCATGAGAACTCACCTTCACGAGAACAACAAGGGGGAAGTCCGCCCCCATGATCCAATCACCTCCCACCAGGCCCCTCCCCCAACATTGAGAATTACAATTTGACATGAGATTTGGGGGACACAGAACCAAACCATATCAGGCAGTGAGGAGCCTGAAGAGTACTCAGGTAGTCTGGGCTCAGGGGGATCCCCAGACAGAGGGCTGGGGGTGGTCAGGGGGGTGGCTGAGAGCTGACCCACACAGCTGCTGTGAACCCAATAGGGCCCTGCCACTTGCGGTGTAAGCACATTGATCCACCCGGGGAGGTCCCCAGGCAGGGACCCACTTTGCAGGGGAGCTCCAGTCGCTCTCCTGTGTCTGCAGGGCCTCTTTGGTCAAGGTCCAGTTGTCCACTGAAAGGTCATAGCAGCGGCCTTCTGACTGTTTAGATGTTGGGCAAGGGAATGGAGCCAGCCTAGGGCATGCTCACAGTCATCTGTCCCACTGGAGTGAGTTGCCTGCTCCCCTCCACCATCACTATGAGTGTGTGCGTGTGTGTGTGTGCAAATCATCCAACACGAATGTACCAAGAAGGGACAGGTGCCCTCCAGGCCCTTTCCTGCTGCAAATAGGCAGTGCTGTTACTGGCTTACAACTGCTGCCTACACAGCCCCAACAGCCAACAAGAGCCTTGTCAGCCAGGCAGGCAGCATGATGCCATTGCTGAAGCTGTGCCTTTGGTGGCTGCTGGCTGGCCTGCCAGCTGCCACTACTTCCCAGCAAGTGCTGATGCCTCATGTCAGCCCCAAAGACCAAGTTGTCATTGCTGCCTCTGGGTGGGGACGCTGGTTCCCACTGCCTCTCCATGGCTGAAGAGAGAGAGGCCACCCATGGGAAGGAGAGGACATGGGGCAAAGAGCCATTTTCTTCTTAAAAGCAAATGCATGACAAGCCCCTATTTCCTTTTCCCTCTGGCTTCAGTCTCTAGCTGAAACCCTGTCTGGCAGTGGCTTGAGCAGAAAGGGGAGGATCCTGCCGGGCACCTGGTGGGGGCCTTTGCATCAGGCCAGAGGACAAGAGGGAAAGAGTGAAGTGGGAATCCAGCCCTTTCCATCAGCAAGGAACGTCACTGCAGTAAGGACATAACAACGTCACTGCAGTAAGGACATAATAAAGCCAGCCAGAGGCAAGAACATTAATGTTCCCGTGATGGGGATGAGGAGCAACTTCCGCTGGACTTTTAAAACACACTGTAGTTCACGAAGCCCAAATTCTACTTTAGAGAACCCTGAGTTAGGGGCCAGAGGTCAAATTCAACATCCTCTCCCCAAGTTGCCCGTTGGTAAATAAGAAGGTTGGGTCATTTTAGGAACTGGGGTCTCGCCAGAGAAAAGAAATATATTGAGAATATACAGATGCTCCTCAACATATGATGGGGCTACATCTTGATAAATACATCGTAAGTTTAAAATATTGTAACTAAGTTAGGCGTGTTGGCTCACGTCTGTAATCCCAACACTTTGGGAAGCTGAGGTGGGAGGATTGCTTGAGTCCAGGAGTTCTAGCCTGGGCAACATAGGGAGACCCCGCCTCTACAAAAAAATAAACAAAATTGGCCGGGCATGGTGGCACATACCTGTGGTCCCGACTGCTATGGAGGCTGAGGTAGGAGGATTGCTTGAGCCCAGGAGTTCAAGGCTGCAGTGAGCCGTGGTTGCACCACTGTACTCCAGTCTGGATGACAGAGCAAGACCCTGTCAACCAAAAGAAAATAAAAAAAAGAAAAAGAAAGAAAGAAAGAAAAAGAGGAAAGAAAAGAAATAAAAGAAAATATCAAGAAAGAAAAGTCAAAAATTCATGTTAAATACACCTAACCTACCAAACATCATAGCTTAGCCTGGCCTACCTTAAACGTGCTCAGAACAATTACATTAGCCTACGTTTCAGCAAAGTCATCTAACACAAAGCCTATTTTATAACAAAGTGTTGAATGTCTCATGTAATTTATTTAATACTAGTTTGAAAGTGAAAAACAGAAATGGTTTTTGTATGGGTACTGAAAGTACGGTTTCTACTGAATGTATATGGCTTTCACACCATCATAAAGTTGAAAAATCATAATTTGAACCACCATAAATAGGGTACCATCTGTCTTGGGATTCCAGAAATTTGCCCACTGGTTGGACTGGCCCTGCTCTGGATGTTGGACATGGGTAAGTTCCAGAACTCGGTAACCAGAAGAAAAATTTCTAAGCAACAGGTACTAACCACAGGCCACTGTGCAGCCTTCCTCTACCAGTTCACCTCTCTCCTCTCACAGGGCCAAGGGAAACTAGGCAGTGTCCAGGTCTGTCCCCGCTGGCTCTCGGCTATCTGATAGTCTCTGGAGCCACAAAGGGGAAGTCCCGAATAGCAGCATCAATCAGCAGAGCTTGGCTCAAATGTGCCCTGTGGAGTGTTGTTACTCTTTCTGTTAGCTTGAGGAGACAATAGGCTGTCTCATGGCTGTCATTAAACTCAGCAAAAGCAAGATGGCTAAATCCATAGCCTCTCAATTGATGAATGCTTTAAGAAGAGACCATCCCAGTGCCAATATCTTTGAGTCCAAAATGACATTTATTTAATCTGGCTTCCCCCTTGCTTCTGTGGAATATTGAGTGCTGCTGCTGAGCTAACCCAGAGCAAACTGAGGCATGGGGAAGCTTGTTCTCTGAGCTCCTGCAGGCAGCAGCTCATCCACCTCGATACACCAACTCCCCTTCCCTGACCACCCCCTTCCCACACCACTCTCCTGTATCCCCGGCTTTCAGCCTGGAGGATGCTCTTCCTTGGGGACCTGATTTTAATTTTTTAGGGACTCATGTCTGACCGATTTCTTGCCAAGCTCCTATCCTGGTCTAGGAACAAGCTGGACGCCTCTATACGCATGCTTTTATTTAATCCCCACAGCCACTCTGTAAAATAGGCATTATTCTCATTTTGCAGATGACAAAACCAAGACAAGTTCAATGACTGCCCAAGGTTCACATGGACACCAAAGGCAGAGTGGGAATTTAACCCAGGTTCTCCAACTCCCAAACCAGTGCCCTTTCCATCCGCACCACAGTTCATGTCTAACGGTGAAAGTTCAAGGGTGGTGACGGCTGATAAGATAGTTTTTGTCTGGAGGAACCTCGATAATGTTTTGCAAGCTATGAAGCTCAATACACACAAAAGAAGACGTTTAATTACACCATGCTGGTCTCTGCCCTCTCCTGCACAGGAGCACTGAGCCCAGAAAATCCATTCATCCATCCATTTGGTACAAACAATAAGTCATCTTCCTGTTTATGCTGGATGAATAGCAAAAATGCTGCCTCTCCCACCAATAAATCTAGTTAACCACAAAGGCTGTGCATCTCTCAGATCTGCTGGCTTTGTCTCCACCCCACTGCCCTTCCCTGTGGCTCTATCATCTCTCACCTAAATCACTGCAGCGCCTGTGCCTGATCTTCCTGCAGCCTCCCCTGTCCCTCTGACCACTCTTCACACTGTAGCTGCGGCCAGCTTTCTAAAGGCCAGATCTGAGCCCATCACATTTGGGCTGAAAACCTCTCCATGGCTCCCATTGCTCTCAGCCTAAACTTCAATGAAGCTCCTTGACCAGGTTTTCAAGGTTGTGATCTGGCAGTGTCTCCAGATAGTCCCGCTTCACCCTCTGTGCTTCAACTCTGTGGACCATGTCCATCCACAGGACACATCTCCTTCCACTCCTTGCCAGGTTAACTAACACATCCTGTCTTCAGCTCTTAGCATCAACATCACCTCCCCTGGAGGGCCTCCTTCTCCCCAGGTTGGGTCACTGCCTCTCCCACACAGCCAGCCAGCATCCTGTGAATATAATCATCAGCATTGACCTGCAATCATGTTCACTCTTCTGGGGCCCCTACTGGATGATTGGCCCTGCAAGCACAGGTACTGTGTCTGCATCTTCCTTGACTGTTGTCTAGGTGCTTGGCATGAGTTACTTGAGTATTCAGTAAGTCTGAGCCAATAGACATTTGTGTGTGCCGGCACCAGTGTTAGCCACTTGAAGGGCTGGCAGGGTTCTGCCACAGCTCGTAAGCCACCCTTTCTCAATTGTGCTTTGCTGAGCACCAGTGGGGAGGCAGTTCCCCCACCACATCACACAACAGTGAGGGGGCTCCCAGAGTCATCCCAGCCACTCCCATGGACTGAAGAGCCCAGATCCATCCCAGAAGGCTCTAGCACAGTCACCAGATGTCCCCAGGGAAGGAAGATGACCCTCTCATATACAGCCAGGGCAGCCTGTCTTCCACGGCTCCGCTTGTGTGACTGGGGCCCAGTGCTAAGAGAGAGGCCGATGTTTTCCACTGCCCTGTGAGCCACAAGCACACAGGTGGGTCCACAGACCTGGTGGCAGGAGCCAAAGCAAGAACAAGCAGAGACAGGGTGGCTTCCACCAAAATTCCCATGACTTGGCTGGTCTTCCACAGATGATGGGGGTCACCTGCCCCTCTAACCAGTCCACATCCTGCAGCCACTGAGTCTGTCTCGGTAAATCTCCTGGGGAGGCTCTCAGGGACCTTGCTCCAGTGGGACCTGTGTCAGAGGGTCCCTTCAGACACAGAGTGGTCTCTGCAGGCTTTGGGACATGGCGGCTGCAGGATGGGGCCCTGGAGGCTGATGCCTTGGGACAATTTCACGTGGACCTGGCCACCCCCTTGAGGACAGGAGGTAGAGCTCCACACACAGAGGGGTTTCAAGATGCCCACTTCCAACTGCTGTCAGACCCACATGCACACTCGTTCTTTATGCCTGCCTCCTCTCCGGGGACATAGGGTTTAGCAATGACCCAGGACAAGGGGAATTCTCAGCTGCTCTCATCTACCATGTGTCACTGTGACTGTGACAGCCAAGGAAACCCCATACACCAGGACCCAACCAAGGCCACTGCGAGACTTCTACTGCAGTAGGGCAGTGGGATGCCTCTCAGACCCCGCCTCCTCAGAGTGCCCGTTTGGAGCAGGGACCCATCCTGGACTACTGCCTCACTGCAGCAGAGGGGCAGGCCAGACTCTGAGGGTCTGCGGGACAAAGAATGGACCCCAGGCACCTGGCACCCAGCTCCCATCCTGTGCCATGTCCCTGCTAGTTAGCACCTCCACCTATATAGGGGCCAGAGAGGAAGGGACAGTCACTTCCATCCACCTGAACTGCTCTTTGGCCACCAAAACCTGGAGGGATGGCCATCTAGTTTCAAGTCAAAATAGAACATCTACAAGAGGTTCTAGGGCAGGGCAGCAACCTCCCCAGAGAGCCCAAGATGCAGGCCCATGTTGGAAGGAGAGAGGGTGACACCGCTCCAGCTGCGGGCTGTGGGGAGGAGATTTGCACCCTGACACCCACTGCCAGCCGCCCGGAGGCAGTTCTCACCCCCTGCCTGCTCACCCCTTCTGTGAGATGGCTGCAAAGAAAGGCTGAGTCCACATCAGACATCCTACTGTAATCATCTACAAACTCAAAGGGACTTTCTGAGACAAGTTTGTAAATTGTTTGCATCAGACCTGATTGAACTAACTCTGATGTTGGCAAGGGAAGCAGACAGTGAGGGAATTCACTCAGGGGAATTCTGCCCCAATGAGATCATAGTCAGGAGACACAGAGGAGAGACACTTAGCCACCTTCACTGGCATCACAGGATGTGGCCCTCTGGGAGGTGTGGGGACCGTTCTGCAGGACAGGCAAGGGGCTTGGAGGAACATCTACTCTATGCATGGAGACTTCCACCTAATGTAGACTTGGCCAAATGATGAAACTGCCAAGCACTGGGTGAGCCAAGAAGGCAGTTTGAGGACCTGTGAACAAGGCTCTGCAAACGGACAGATGAGCTGGGGGGTGGCTGGGGGAGCAGACACTGCAGCAAAGGCTCCAGGGCCAGAGGATGCCCCTAAAGCACTCCAGAAACAAGACTTTCAGGGAGGCCACACATCTCCCAATGCACTGGACTGTTGCTGTTGATATTAACAAAAACTAAAAATTACATAAACAAACCTACCCACTCCACCCACATCAGAAACACATGATGCTCCAGGTCCCACTGGGTGACTTGAGCACTTGTTTGGTGAGCATCTGTCTACAGGAGTGTGTTTGCTCTGGAATCTGCACTTTGGGGTTCCCGGGGAGGACTCCTTACCAGCAAGACCGGCCAGAGGACTAGGGAAGGGCGGTTTTGCTCAAATGTGTGCCTCTCTCATATTCCATCAGCACCATGGCTCCTGTCTCAGAGAAGCTGTCTTTACCCCATCCAGCACCCTAAGACCAGCCTACTCCCCACTCCCACCTGCCAAAAATATGAATCCTGAACACATCAAAAGTTATATCCTCCTGGTCCCAATTTATATGTTACTTAAAGATGAAGAGAGGAGTGACTAGGAGCTGGGTGGCCATGACTCAGCCCTGGGAGCAGACAGGCAGGTGGAGGCTGGAGAAGAGACCTCGTCTGGCTGGGAAACCAGGGTATGGAGCCAACTGTAGGAAGAAGGGCTGCCACCCACCAATGCCCCAGCCAGCGACATGCACTGGATCCTGGCTAGTGGATAACCTTTGCATGCTGAGTCCCATAGATTCTTGACTTTTTCATAACTGCAAAACATTACACTAGACCAGCCTCAGTTCTGAGGGGTGCATCCTGCCATTGAATACCTGACCCTGCCTGTTCATCTCACACGTCCGGTTGTGTGCATGCCATGACTCCAGCTCTTTCTTCCTGGGGCTATGGTAGTCTAGGGCCAGTCTGATCTCTCTTGGGCTTTCTGTATTTCTTCTCTTTGAGATCACAGAGGATGTGATTGCCACCCACCCACTGCTGATGTCGATGAACCCTGGGAAGGAGATAGAGATCATAGGACCAAACTGGACATCTTTCCCTCCCTCTCAGCAAGGCAACCTGTGGCTGGGTGAAGCTGGCAGGAACAATCAGGGGCGCCACTTCCACTTGCCCAATGGGGTCCTCTGTCGCTGTCTGAGTAGCAAAACTTAAGGATGGCTTCCCAACCCAGAAGCAAGGGGAGAAAGTGAGTAGCATCCACACTAGAGAGAAATTTGAGAGTTTCTAGCAGGAATGTCTGTGAAAGGAACTGGGGTGTGCAGAGCCTGTCTCGAGAAGGCCCGCATGTGGTGGAAGGGGCGGCCTCCCATGCAGTGGAGGGCAGGAGGAAGGAAGAAGGAAAAACCCAACAACTGCTCCTCAGTGAAAAGCACAGGGACCTGCCAGCTCTGCTGCATTTCTGGCAAAGCACTTCACCAGCCCCCAGGGGACCCCCACTGCTCTGGCATCTGAGCTCTGTTAGCAAACACCATCACCCTGTGATGAGTTGCCTCTAGCCTCCTTCCCACTCCTCTCTCCACCTGCCTCTCCCAGGCTCCTGTCTGCAGATGCCAGGACTGGCAGGACCCCTGTGTCCTCTCCACGCATTCTGAGCGAAGGCTGGTGAGTCTCATCTGAGAGCCTTGTGGGGGTTGCATAGTGATTTGTCCTGACTGAGACTGAATGGGGGTCCTGTATTCCCACAGGTCCCCCACACTTAGGGAAAAAAGAAATTAAGCCATTAAAGAAATCAACACAGTAAAAAGTTATCAATCAGACAGCCAACGCTTAACTTACCTCAGAGGTAGTATTCCTGAACAATTAATCACAGTAAAATAAAGTTAAGAAGTTACACTGTAAGGTATAAAAAGCCTGGCGAGGTGCTCAAGGGATCTCGCCCAATAGCAGGCAGACCCCACCCTGCCAACTCCCCCACAGTGGCCACGGACAGCAGCAGCCTCCGCAAGGGTAGTCTCTCCACAGGCGGAAGCACTGTGCTGCCTACCCCATGGGGGGAACAAAATGTCAGTGTGAGGAAGGGCAGGAGACAGACACCCATCGGTGGTGGGGGTTCCTCCAGAGCACACCCCAGCCCACCCCATCATCTCTGGCAAATATGCAGACACAGACGCAGGCATCCAGGTGCCCCGTGCCCCAGGTCTCCCTGTGCCGACAACTCCTCCCCGCCCCTCCACCACTGAGAAGGCTGAGGCTGAGGCAGGGGTGGGTGGGCGCAGGGGTCATATCTGGAGAATGCAGGCTGGCAACACAAAGCTCAAATCCTCTGCCTCCACAGAGCATCCAGTAGAGGAGCGGGGAGTGGGGAGGGGCTTGTGGGGACACTCCGGCCAGCCCACACACACGTCCTACTTCTTACCAGTCCAGTGGATGTGCTGGGTGATGGTTATGGAGAAGGCCAAGCCCAGGATCTGAAAGACACATGGAAGGACCTTCTACAGGAGCTTCAGCACTTCAGCACTCTGGGCCTGACCTCTGCCCCACAAGTTGGGGTGTCACAGCGCTCCTAGTGCAAGTGGGAGTAGCCACTGGTGTGGTGGGAAAATGTCCATGGAATGGAGAAAATGGTGAGCAGAGGTCAGCCGGGTGTGGCAGGAAGGGAGAGGGAGGAACAGGGCAGGAGGACGCCCAGTACAGGAAGGAGGCAAGGCCTGTGGTAGCACAGCCAAAGCTCAGAGCCAGAGAGCTTAGCTGGTGGCATTCAGGAAAATTCCCTTTCAAAACCACAGAGTTGTCTCAGTGGCCATGGCCAAGCTATCATCTAGTCTATGGCAGGAGAATCTAGGGCGAGGCAGGGTGACTCAGGGGATCAGGCCCCAGCCAATGTCAGCACCAACCAACCAGAAGTCGCCAACCACCCCAGTGTGGTCCAGGCCTGATCAGTGCCCTTCTCCAAGCAGGGGCAGGCCTAGGGGCCAGCCTGAGTATCAAGCCTCCCCTGCCTGCTTTCCCAGTTGAGGGCATTTCAAACTAACTTTAATTCAGGGCTCCAAATAAACCCACATCGAAATTTGAGAAGATGAACTCCCATCCTCGCATTTGCTTATGGCCTCCTCAAGGGCCAGGATTTGGGTCTGTTGTACTTGTGGTTAAATCCCCAGACTGGGGCCTCACCCTTGGCAATTCCTTTGGGTTGTCCTCCTAGGATGATCCTGTCTGGGCCCTGCCCTGATTTTGCAGGAGGGAGAAGGTGCAGGCCCCTGGCATAGGGAGGAGCCCTGAGCCAATGGGCATCTCAGGTCTCCCTCATCACCACTGGCCCATTCAACACATGCACAGCAGGTAAACTGAGGCCAGTCAGGCTATGGCTGTATAGTGAGCCCGCACTTCAGACTCCTCATTTATTAATTCTTGTAATTAGCCCAGTATCCCTATGGCATTTTTTTCTTGTTTTGTTTGAACCATATTGAGTTGTAGTTTTAATATATGTTTCTGCCATAGGTATATTTCATGCAGACATCCCATTTCTCTGGGGGTGGGGCCCACGATTTCCCCTTGAAGCTACCCTCCCTCCTGAGCTTCTACCCGCACTTGCACGCTGCTTAGGACCCATGGACAGCCACTGCCCATAGCCGTTCATAGCTGCCACCAGTCTCCCATCGGTGTAGGGGGGGCCCCTCCCCAGGGGTGACCTCTTGTGCTGGGGCTGGGACCACAGCAGAACATTAGGAACCCTCCTAGGCTTCTGTGTAGACTCGCTGTCCACCCTCTCTAAAAACACGAGCATTTCCAAGACCTGGGTTCATATCTTACCCATTTTTTTTCCCCACTGTAAGGTCTAGAATATGCCTGGAATACCAGATAAATATTTGCTTGAGGAATGAATAAATGAGTGATGGGGACAGGTGGGGGTTCCTGAGCAGACCACAGCCCGGGTACAGGGCCACACCCAGACCCACAAACCCACAGAGAAAGCCCTCTGTGCACCCTATTTTCCCCACTCCCAGAAACCCCAGGGCCCCCAAATTACTCCCCTTTCAGTCACCCTTGGCTCCTCACTGACCTGGGATAGGTCGTCTGCCCTACCTGCCCCAGCCCCCATCACAGCCCATCATATCCCCTGGCTATTTTGGTCACCACTGCCTCATGCCTCTCTGTGGAGACAACCAGTCTCCTGGGGTTGGGTGTCACTGGTGGCCCCCACCCCGACCCCTTGGCCCCTCTGCCACCCTCATCCCCTCTTTGCTTCCAGGAGATTTTCAAATGCTAGGGCTCAGCACTCCCCGATGCTTTCTGTGGGCCAGGGCCAGGCCCAACATTTAATAACATTTAATAAATTAGTGAATGGGAAGACTTTTTTGTTTAAGGCTTTAATTTCACAGCCTGACATGCCTGCTAGTAATGAACCTGCCAAGAACTTCGTCTCGGGGAGCAGGGACAACATGTCAGTTCCAGGAGTGCCCCTGCTTTGACTTTCAGTGCCCCTTGCCCCCAGGGACCCCACAGCTCCTTCATTCTCACAGCCATAGAGGCGGGGGCCAGGGAGGAGGGAGAACTGGATGGTGCTTCCACTTCCACATGGAGAGACATGAAGGGGCAGAGGCATCTTGGTCAAAGCTACCCAGTAGGCAGAAGGGCCGCAGCTCCCTGGAACCACAGAGAGGCAGGTGGCCACACAGGGTCTCCCAGGGTCTGAGTGTTCACCCTCCAACAACTTATTCCATTTCTTTTTTCTTTTTTTTTTTTTTTTTGCATAACTTTACTCAAGAATTCTTTCTTATTACCTGAAGAATCTACTTCCCTGTGGCTAACACACATCAGTCCTAGTTTTGCTCAAGAAATCTACCAAGAACAAGTAAAACAGGCCTTTAAATATTTGAAGGTATGCATGGAACAATTCAGGTTCCTCTGCTGAAAGCTTCCTGTCCACAGTTTCCCCAGAGAAACATGTCCACAGTCACAGAGCTCCTTGTGGTACAGCCATGCCTGCTCCCAGAACCCAGAGCCCTCTTCCCTGTCCTTCCTCATTGGTGCTGTGCTGCTGTGGATGGTGCCTGCAGCCCCAGGCTAAATGCGCTAGGCTAAAGAGACCAGGCTGAAGCAGGGCAGCCATGAGTCAGGAGCTGGTAGTGGAGAGAGGTGAGGAGGTCCTGCCACTGCCCCAGCTGCTCCAGCCCCAGCCTGCACATCAGGGGGCCACTCTGCTGGCCTCCCGGAGCCCATCCACCCAGGACCAGCAGCAGCATCTGGCTAGACAGGCTCTACTCCCTCCACCATCCTCCTGGGAGGCAGCCCGCTTTTCCGATTTGCAGGCACGCTTTCTTTTGGCAGGGAGCTGCTGCCATCTGTGCTCTGGACCATAAAACAAGTTTTCGTCAATAAATTAAGATAGTGACTGAGATGAGAAGTCATTCTGCAACACAGAAGGGGCCAATGCGAATCTAAAGCAAGACTGGGTTCCCACCCATTTCCCTGAGTTCCCTGTGCGCCATTCGACCCAGGCTTCTAAGAGAAGGAGAGACTCGGAAGGTCACCTGCCTCCCTCTGGCCCCATTACATCCTTGAGGTGGGTAAGCCAAGGGTCACAGTGACAGGTAAGCCAGGCTTTCAGCAATGCTCTGAGCCAAAATAATGACCCCAATCGCTGTGTTAGACGAGCTAAATCACTCAGACACTGCCTGCCCAATGACTAACACTATAAAACCTCCCTGCAAATCAAAATGCTCTTCCCCTGGAGCCTCCCCGCTCTTCAGCATGAACCTTGGTTCTCGCAAATGCGCCTTCCACACCTCTGCCTCCAGACCCTGCTCACAGCACATCTTCCTACCCAAAAAGCCTTCCTTGTCTTCTCTGCCCTGTTCTCAATCCAATCCAGGGCCTTCAAGGCCAGCTGAAGCCCCACCTCCTCCTCCAGGCCTGCCGACCCCCTATTGCTCTGCAGTGGCTGCAACTGTCTGTACCCCTCATCAGCCTTAGAGCATTCTCCCACCCTGTGAGCACTGACCTTTTGCCGGGTGCCTGTTCTGGCTACAAATGGCTGCATGAGGGCAGGAGCCTCTGTTCAGACTTCTCTGTGCAGTGTCCTAGCATCAAGCATGATGCTGGGCACAGAGGGAATCTCGTTCATAAACAGCCAGATATGGGCTGTGTGAGCCATGAAGGAGGGAAGCAGCAAGCAAGACACGTTTTCAGCCCGGCAACAGAAGTGCCACCCCACCTTGGTGCGATGATACATGACCTCCTTCAGCCCGGCTTGTACAAGCCAGAGCAGATGGCAGGAGAGGGGCCATCTGTCCGTCCACCGCCACACAGAGAAAGGTGAGCCTCTCTGCATATGCTTATGAGTTAACAAACAAGTAGGCCTTTAGACGAAGCAGTGTCATAAGGCCAAACATCACGGCACCCTGACCACATGCTGCTAACGGGCCGCGTCATCCTGGGCATCATTCACTCCTCTAAGCCTTGGTTTTTCCATCTATAAAACAAAAAGTTGAAACTAATAATATCCAAAGCCCTTTCCAGCCCTAAGAGCCTATGACTGCTCTTCTATTTAGTCCTCCTTCTAGCTGTATGAGATAGGTAAGACAACTGTTATTAGTTTATTTTACAGATGAGCAGGCTGAGGCCTCTGAGGCTAAGTGACTTGCCCGCAGAGCTAGGAGCTGGAACCAGGCACTTCTGCCTCCGTAAGAGTGGCCCCACTTCTCTCAGGGAAGAGTGCAGGAAAGAAATGATGTCTACCAAGTGCTATGTGAGCTGGGCCTGAGAAGTGCTGTTATTTGCCCCTCACACCCTTGTGAGATGACATCATGATCCCCTGGTGCAGGAACCCAAGGCTCAGAGGTGTGACTTGCTCAGGGACCCCGGGGTCAAATTCTGATGCCATGTCACCACCCTACCTTGGGAGCTGACCATTTAAATACACATAAACAGAGACGGAGAAGATGGCAAAGTTTCAGGCCACATTGACATTAAATCACAACTACTAATTATACTCCAACCTGGATATAAATCAGAATCATTACTTCTGAGTTCAGGCACTTCCCATATGTGGAGTGAACAGAGTCATGTGAGGCCCTTGGTCAAGTGTAGGCTGGGGTAGGCTCAGGGTGGGCAACTTTAAAGCAGATCTCAGGCTGGGCATGGTGACTCACACCTGTAAGCTCAACTTAGGGAGGCTGAGGCAGGAGGATCACTTGAGTTCAGGTGTTTGAAACCAGCCTGGGCAACATAGTGAGACCCCATCTCTAAAAAGAAAAAAATTTTTAATTTACTGGGTGTGGTGACACGTGCCTGCAGTCCCAGCTACATGAGAGGCTGAGGTGGAAGGATCCCTTAAGCCTGGGAGGTCAAGGCTGCAATGAGCCATGATTATGCCAATGCACTCCAGCCTGGGTGGCAGAGTGAGACCCTGTCTCAAAAAAATAAATAAAATCAAAGTAGATCCCAACAGGCCCTCCCTCCACTCCTCCAACCCTTCATGAGAAAGATAAGCACTCCCACCACCAAGACCTGGAGGTGGGAAATGATGTTGTATTATAAAGATCGAACAGAGGGGTTAGGAGAGCACCTATGTTAAATTGTGAGCTGGCAAGAGGAGCTAAGAACAAAGTTCAATGAACAGAACAGAAACAGATTGACAACAGCAAAAAGAAACACTTACTGTACATTTTCATATAAGATCTGAGGAATAAATTTGTTCTTGCTCTTGCTTATTCAACAGAAACAACCAGGCCAGGTGCATTGTGGCTCATGCCTGTAATGCCAGCACTTTGGGAGGACGAGGAGGGCAGATCACCTGAGGTCAGGAGTTTGAGACCAACCTGGCCAACATGGTGAAACCCCATCTCTACTGAAAATACAAAAATTAGCCAGGTGTGGTGATGCATGCCTGTCATCCCAGCTACTCAGGAGGCTGTCTTTTAGGCAATGCAGAATACTCATGACTTATGTAGTCCCCCTGAAAGATTTAACCTGGCCTCCAAAGTCAAGATCAGGGGTGCCGCTGGGGAGCTTCTCTGACCTCCTGAAGGAATTAGTATCCAACTCAAGAAATGCCAATCAGCCAATGAGGCCACATTTAACCACTTCCATCCCTCCCAGCCCCAGCCAAGGCACTCCCAAAATCAAAAATTACACTAGAGGCAACTCTCACTGCAGCCCGGCATCAGCTACTTACAACCCACTCGCCTCCTGCGGGGAACCAGACACCTCCCATCACAGCGCATGCCAGCCACCAGGCCTATGGCCTTGCCCTCAGGGACTCTGTCACACTGCCCACAGTATGGGCACAGGACCCCTGTGCCACCAAAAAAAAAAGGAAAACCCATTGGTGATTCCATGAAACTAACACAGGCCCCCATGCTGTCCTCCCTATACCAGCTTACAAAGGCCACAAACCTTTGGGGTGGCACAGGGACAATCTCAGGTGTATGGCGGCAAAGGCTTGAGAAGGAAGAAAGTGCTAGAGAAAAGTTTAACAGAGCTGGGTTGGGCTCCTTTTTCAGTTGCCCTGGTCAGCTTCTCCCATTACTTGATGTGGGCTGTGGGTAGGGCCAGTCAGCTGCTGGGGAGATTCAAGCCCAGGTCAGTCCGGGGTCCCCGTCTCCTTAGACCACCTCTGCAAAGGGTTGGCATGCCACAGTCAGATGAGGTCCATGCACAGCTCACTCCAGGCTCACCTAACACAGCCTCTTTATAAAAAGCCCGAAGCTGGCGGGACAGACAGAGCCAGGCCTGATGGCCCAAGGCTGACTGTCCCTGCACCATCAGCCCTCCAGCCCAGCCACGTGCCTTGCTCCTCATTGTCTCTCCTGGCTGTGCACCGCTATTTTGGCCTCTGGGGGACAAAGCAGAGCTGAAGACTTGTAGCAGGGAACCCCCAGGATGGGGAGGCTGGCGCCAGAGCAGCTCTCCTGGTGGTGGGACAGCTGCTGCCCTCCCTCCAGCCTCTCCCCTGCCCCTTGGAAACCAATAAATACATTTCACACAACAGTCAACACACATGGTGCATGATGCATGTGTATCATACATAATGCACTGCACCTCTTCACCATGCTGGCACCTACTCCTCTGCTCCCCCTGCCGGCTTCCTCAGCCCCTTCTTCTACCCCGATGGTTCTCTCCTTGCCTGCTCAGGCCAGCACTTCCCATGATCTGAGATGTCCGTCCTCCTTCCTCTTCAACTTTTTCTCCAGCAGTGAGTTCCTCCTCCTAACTCAGGCTTCCAGGAAGGATATCCTTGGCTTCTCAGACCTGAACCTGCCTCGAATACTCATGAGGACCCAGGAGCTACTCCTCACCTCCCACTTCTCTTCTATCCTGTCAGATAACCAAGGCACGGCCAACTGATCCTCCACCATCCGAGGAACCCGATCGTGTGAGACCACCACACCCGTTTTCAGAATATTCTCCTTTCCCCTTCTTTGTATTTATACTGATGGAAATTTGCTGGTCATTCTAACTTAGTTCTGTGCCTCAGTTTTCCCATCTGTAAGATGAGGCGGAGGATAAAGATACAAGATATTTTCTGTGCACATCTTAACATGAATTTCTTGTTAGTTACCACATCTGAGGGTGTCTGTGTGTGTTTACTGTACTATCCACGTGAGAGGATTGTACAGACACAAATCTAAGCAAGGGAGTAGCAAGCCCATTCAAGCATTAAGAGACTGATGGGTGGTTTATTCATTCTGTCTGCAAACATCTACTGATCCTCTCTTCTGTGCAGACCATGATCACAACAAAGATGAATAAGACACTACACTACAGCCAGGGAAATAGCCACAAAAACAATTAAACTTTAATCCAGCCATGAGTACAATGATAAGGAGGGACAAATCCCTTCTAGGGTTAGGGAAGTCAGGAAAAGCCTCTTAGCAGAATGTGTGCCTCTCTACCAGGCCCAGGGAGAAGGTGCAGAGACAGCAGTCCAGGTAGGGAGCAGTGGCTCACACCTATAATCCCAGAAGTTTGGGAGGCCATGGTGGAAGAATCAAGACCAGCCTGGTCAACACAGACTCCTATCTCTACCAAAAAAAAAAAAATTTTTTTTAATTAGCTGGGCATGGTGGCACAGGTCTGTAGTCTCAGCTACTCAGGAGGGATGAGGTGAGAGGATCATCTGAGCCCCAGGAGGTCGATCCAGGCTGCAGTGAGCCATGATCATGCCAGTGTACTCCAGCCTGGGCAACAGAGTAAGATCCTGTCTCAAAAAACAAAACAAAACAAAACAAAACAAAACAAAACGAGGGAGCATCCCAGGTAAAAGAAACAGCTTGAACAAAGGTATGTAGTGAAACGGCAGGTGGTCTTGAGTGGTGGGAACACAGTCATCCTTGAGGAAGTACCAGGAAAAAGAATGATAAAGAGAGGCCAGTTTGTGAAAAACACCCAAAACCAAGGCTAGGAGTCTGGTCTTGAACCAGGAATGAAATCCTTAGACCTGTGCTGTCCAGTATGGTAGCCGCCAGGTACATGCAGCCACTCAGCATTGGAAATGTGGCTAGTCTAAATTGAGATGTGCTGTCAGTGTAAATACACACCGAATTTCAGACTTAGGAAAAAAGAACATAGACTATCTCATTAAAATCTATATTGATTACATGCTAAAATGACCATATTTTGGATATATTGGATTAAATAAAATATATCACTAATTTCTTCTGTTACTTTTTACTTTTAAAATCACTTACGTGATTTCCATATTTTTCTTTTCTTTTTGCCACACTCAGTGTCCTGTGATTCCAAAGAAATGAGTCCCAGTTCTTTTCAGGCAGGAGCTATCCTAGAATGGATTCTGGCATAAGCATCAAAATCAATCGTAACATTATCATTTTACAGCCCCTTCATTCTGTATCTGGTAGCTCTTAAACTATTATCATGAAGATAATCATTATTGTGCCTCTCTCAGCAGATGGTATTTCCTTATGCTACAATGGTACTACAAATATTGGCTCATAATACCCATGTATGTTAGAACCATTCTAACACCTTCTCAATAACTCTTCCATTTAACTCTTAATCACAGTGAATTTATTAATATCTCCAATGTTACATAAGGAAATGAAGTTGGAAAGACCACATGGCATTTTTTTTCAACATTGAAACCCTAGTTGAGATCAAGCCGAAACTTGAACCTATGTTGTCTGACTATAGGGCTTTTGTTATTTATCAGTATGTTTTATTGTTTTCACACATTAAAATTGCACAACTGGGAGTTCAAAATTTTTGTTAGTACTACCAATTTTAAGATACCTCATCATGATACTTTGTCTTTATGTAAACCTTAAAGGACAGATGTTTTCTTGATACTGACAGAACAAGGGAGTCTGACAGTAACCAGCCCCTCCTGTGTGGTCAACATTTTTGTTACTTTAGTATACATCATGTCAATTGTTTGTCTTTATAACAAACTTTGGAGTCATGTAGTAATATTTTTAGAAATTAGAAAATCCAGGCACAAAGGTTAATTGGCAATTATCTTTTGCAAAGCCTGTGGCGCTCATCTGAAAAGATGACAATCACTTCTTGTTTAGTGGAAAGACAATAAATAGTTGATAAATAATAGTCTTCCATCAGGGAGTTTTGTAATGAGAAACCCTGACTCCTCAGTTCCCCAGTGGATGACTGCAATTCACTCTCGGTCTTTGCTATTGTGTTACCTGCTTATCCATTTTGTTACCTTTTAATGCATTACATAAACGCATATTCTTTAATAATGGTGCTTTCCTCACATCTGTGCCATCCATGTTCATCAAGATCTTCTTTCAGTTTCTTTGACAACTAAAACTGTACATATGTATTGTGTATGGCGTAATATTTCTACTGCACAGCGTTGCTTTACACAATGTGGTAAAAACTATGGAGTCTCCCAGGAAAATGCACACACACCGTACCCCTGTCTCATAAGGCAGTTTATAATTTCCAAGTGCATGGAGCCCGTCCTGCACACCGCTCTCCCACACCCCGCTCCAGCGCCTCTCCCTGAGTTACAGACCTCACTGTGGGCCCCTGGGGAACCAGCGCAGAGGTTTAAGCGGTGTGGGGTCAACTCCAAGGGTCAGGAGTTGGCAACCGGTTTGTTCCCCGTATAATTGGTGCCCCCGACACAGCATCTCCCCGAACCAATAACAGAAGCTTCTGACTTCTTCGCCCACCCTTCTGACTTCTTCTTGCTTCTCCCATAGAAGCAGGTGTGGGAACCGCTGAGCAGCACATCCTCCCCCAGCAGGAAATCCGGGACACGCAGGAGCCTCAGTGAATCCGACCATTGTCTCATCTCACCAGGCAGATGCCTCCGTGAATCTGACCATAGTCTCACCTCACCAGGCAGGTGCCTCCTCCATCCTACCTGCGATCAACTTTATTACTACAATTATTAATATAAAGCCAGCAGCCATGTCCCAATATCAACCCCCATTATTTGTTTGACAGGCACTCGTTACTCCGGGAGGGTTGGCAGCTGCGGAAGAGCTGGGCGAGGCTTCCCAGAACCGGGGCCCCTGCCTTCCAGAACTGCCCCTGCCTTCCAGCCCTACACCCTGACCTGCTTTCCTGCTTCTCTCAGCACAACCAACACTGTCTTCACCTCTGCAGGCAGCTCCTCTGTGGCCCACTTAGTTCCTACCTGCCTTTAAAAATTAAATTAAAAAGCCAGGCATGGTGAGGCAGGAGGATAACCAGAGGCCAGGAGTTCGTGACCAGCCTGGGCAACATAACGAGACCACGTCTCTAAAAAAGTTTTATTTAAAAAAATTAAATAGAGAAGTCAGACGCAAAAGGACAGATATTGTATGAGTCCACTTATGTGAGGTGCCTGGAACAGTCAGATTCATAGCAGCAGAAGCAGTGGCCGCCAGGGATGGGGACGCAAGGCGGGAGTTGGGCAGCTTGTGTTTCATGGGTGGAGTTTGAGGTTGGGATGATGGAAAAGTCCTGGAAATGGCTGGTGGCGACAGCTGCACAGCAGTGTGATGTGCTAACACCACTGAACTGTGTGCTTCAAAATGGTTTCCACGGTAAATTTTAGCTTAGGTTTATTTTACCACAATAAAGAGCTAGGAAAAGCTGGTAGAAAGAAAAGAAAAGGAAAGGAAAGGAGAGGAGAGGAAAGGAGAGGAGAGGAGAGAAGAGAAGAAAGGAATGAAGGAAGGAAGGGAGCCAGGGAGGAAGAGAGGGAAGGAGGGTGGAAAGAGGCTAAAAACCGTTAAGTGTTATAAAGGGAGCATGGGCCCAGAAGCCCAGCAATAGTCCCTCCTGGAATCCATTGGCTTGCCTCAAGAGTGTCTGAGCCTTCTCTTTTAGGGTTACCAGATAAATGCAGGATGCACAGTTAATATGCATTGGAGAAAATATTAATTTATTATTAGATAATACATAATTTCTTTAGCATAAGCATGTCCTGTGCCATGTTTAGTTAAGGGCATACTTATGCTAAAAAATTATTTCTTCTTATCTGAAATTCAGAATTAACTAGGCATTTTATATTTTTATTTGCTAAATCTGGCTACCCTATTCTCTTCGTAATATTCTTCAACTCTCCCAGCTTTGCCCTCCTTCCCTGTCCGCTCTTCTAGGGGAGTCGGATCGAGTTGTAAGGAGAACATGCCCACTGTCTTGATGGCTGCAGTGTGTGGTCCCCACAGGTGGTGAGGAAGAGATGGGTTTCCACCCATGCTGTACACGGAATGTTTGTGTCCTCCCCAAATTCCTATGTTGAAGCCCTAACCACCAATGTAATGGTATTTGGAGATGGGCCTTTGGTAGGTAATTAGGGTTATATGAGGCCATGGGGTGGGGCCCTCATGATGGATCTGGTAAGAAAAGAGAACAGTGTCTCTCTCTACCCACCAAGTGAGGACACAAAGAGAATGTGGCTGCGTGCAAACCAGGAGGAGAGCCCTCACCAGGAACCAATCTAACTGACACCTTGAACTTGGACTTCCAAACCTCCAGTACTGTGAAAAATAAATGTATGTTTTTAAAGTCATCTAGTCTACACTATTTTGGTTTGACTAATACAACCTGAAAATACATTTTCCCCTCACCCTACCTGAGCAATATCTAAGTTGCTTAAGGCACCCAGGGCACATCAGAGGAGAAATGTCCCATGCACAAGGCACAGCCATGCCCAGGAGAAGCAGCCCGGCACAGAAGGGAGCACACAGGCTCGGGGCTCTGCCACTCATTCTTCCTGTGACCCTGGGCAAGTCACTGAGGGGGTGCTTCAGCTGACCTGTTTATAGCGGGCTTAATAGTGCTTGCCTTGCCTCCTGTGGAAGGCTGCAGAGACCGGATGTTAAAGCACTTTGTTATCTGTAGGGTTTATTTGAATGAGAAAGGAAATATGCATATGCTCCAGGATGTCTGTGTATCCAAAGACACACACTCACACACACACTCTCACACACTCACACTCACACACACACTGACACGCACACATGCTCCCACACACACACTCACACACACCCACACATGCTCACACACTATACTCACACACACTCACAACTTGCACACACTCATACACACACACATTCACACACTCTCTTTCTCACACACACACACACACACACACACACACACTCTATCACATACCAAGCCTGGTTGCGTGTTCTCAAAGATGTGTTGCTAGGCACCAAGGTACTACTCCCAGTTCTAGAACCGGACCAGACAGTTCACCCTCCAGACGGTTCACCCTCAACTGTATAAAAGTTCTCTACCTAATCTACTACTGACAGACTCATCTCAGACCTAATTTTAAAGATTTCCTAGGAACTGAATTGCAAAAACTTTTACCCTCACCCTAGAGCTGCAATGGGAATCCTTGACCTCAGCCTAGACAAAGAAAAGCTGCAGGTCATTCTCATGTGTGGACAAGGAGGCCCTGCCTGCCTTTGCTGGCCAGCTGGGCTGAGTGGGCCTAGGGAAGGAGGACTGCAGGGTTGGTCCCAGGCAGTCTTGATGAGGCTTGCCTGCATCCTCCAACCTCCTTGATTCCCAGGATCCGTGAGCATGGACTTTAGGAACTCTGGTGGAGGGGTGAAGAGCATGCAGTAGGGTGTCCTGAGCCCTGATCTATAGGAAGAAAATCGTAATGATTTCCTAGGAGACTGAGGACTTAGTTTAAGAGTTTAAGATGTTCCCTTGTATCACAGTTCATGGAACAGACTCCCCTCTCTCCTGGAAACCACTTTCCTCAACGGCATTAAACTTCTCCAAGGTGCATTGCTTTTTGGGAAGTCTTCCAAGGATAGTTGGATTAAAGAGGAAGGAAATGTCTCACTCTCTAAACTGTTAGACAGATGCAGCCAGACAGAAGATACAGCCAGCTTCTGTTGCTGTTTATAAGGTATTTGAAAGAAGCTTGGGTCCAGAACTCTGCCCAGAATGCTCTGTGCTGTGCAGGCAAAGACAAGCACTTTCCCTTGTGGGATCCTTGGGCTGAAGTCATCACTGGTTCTAGAACCGGTTTTACTGAACACCCATGAATGTCTGTGTTCCGAGTGAGTTGGTCACTCACATCACCCTGACCTGCCCTGAGTTAGAACTTACATGATCCTACTTCTCCAGGAAGCTTCTGTGACAGCCAGGGACCTCCCCATTCTCTGAAACGTACAGCATTTGAAGCTTCACTAGACTGCTTAGTCCCTGTGGTTGTTCTCTGAGAGGTGGTAAAGCACAGCGATTACAAGGAAGGCCTTTGGTACTAGACTGCCTGGACTGGAGTCCTTATTCTGCTTAATAGCTGTGTGATCCTAGGCACGTTATTTGTGCCTCAGTTTCTACTCTATAATAATTTAGGGACAATAACTGCATCTGTCTCTGTGGTGAGGATTCAGTGAGTTAATATATTTCAAGTGCTTAAAATGATGCCTGTGTCCATAGATGGATGAATGGATAAACAAACTGTGGTATGTACAAACAATGGAATATTACTAAGCCAGGAAAAGGAATGCAGAACTGATGCATGGCACCATGTGGTTAAACCTCAAAAGCATTATGTGAAGTGAAAGAAGCCAGACACAGGTCACATATTATGTAATTCAATTTATATGAAATATCCAGACTAGGTAAATCTATGGAAACAGAAAGCAGATTGGTGTTTTCCAGGGGCCGAGTGGAGGGGAGAATGGGAAGTGGCTACTTCATGGGTACAAGTTTTCATTTTGGGATGATGAAAATGTTTTGGAACTACAGAGAGGGAGTGGTGGGACAACATTGTGAATGTACTAAATGCCACTGATTGTTCACTTTAAAATGGTCAATTTTATGTGCATTTCACCTGGGGCATAAGAAGTGCAGTGCAAGTGCTAGTTGTCGTCCTGCATGCATTCCTTGACTTCCTCGATGGAAGGACCAGGGCTATGTTTCGTACTTTCATATCCTCCTTGGTGTGGACATTTACTGGCTATGAGGTGGAATCAGAGGAAGTGAGAGCCTGAAAGACTTCAGTGATCGCAGAGCTGATGCTCCACTGATAGAGGAGATGGGGCGGGGATGCCACTGGGATTTTCTGTGTGCTCCAGGGAAACCTTTCCTTTCCTCAGGTCCAGGATGAGGAGACACAGCAACGTCCCTGTCACCACAGTTATTGAGTGCTTGCCCCGTGCCTTCAACAAGCCAGGGAAACAGACACATAACCAGATGATGCGAGTGCGATGCGTGTTTCGATAGGCACCGCGGAGGGCAGCCAGGTGCCTGGGAGCACTCACAGAGGAGCTCGTCTAGTTAAGATTACTTTCAGCTGTGCCCAAAAGAAACCCGACCACAGGGCTCAAGCACCGGGGTTCATATTCTCCACACAACAGGAGAAAGGAGGTCGGTAGCCCAGGGCGGACATGGTGGCTCCATGATGCCTTCAGGAACCCAGGACTTCCTTCTACTCTGCCTGAGCACGTGGGTTTCAGCCTAAGAGTTGTAATATGTGTCCCCATTCGCAGGTGCTGCATAGGAGTCCCAGGCAGGAAGTAGGCAAGCACATAGAAAAAGGGTAAAAGGCAGAAATGAGGCCAATCTCTTCCTTTTTAAAAGGAGATTCCTAAGAATCTCTGCCCAGCTGCTTCCTCTTACATCTTATTGACCGGCACTGGATCACACGAGTGCTTCTAGCTGCATGGGAGTCTTGGGATTCTAACAGGAGGAAGGAGAGGGCAGGCAGAGGGCAGCTGTGCAGCTTCTGCTGGAGACACCAAACCGTTGGTGGAGGGATTGGGGTGCTCAGAGAAGGCTTCCTGGAGGGTGTGACGGCAGAGATGAACTTAAAGGCCAAGTGGGGGTTACCCTGGGGAAGCAGGGCAGGGTTACAAGCATTCCAGGGACAGGAGGCAGCATCAGTGTTTTAATGAAAAGATGGCAGTTCCTATAACAAACTATAAACAATCAAATAAAGGCTTAAACACAATGGAAGTTTATTTCTCAATAACGGAAAGTCCAAATCCATGATGCTTTAAGTCAGGGACCCAGGTTCCTCCCATCGATGCCTCCCAATCTGCCATTGCTAACCTGGGGCTTCCACGATGGTCACACTCCTTGGAAGTGAGAAGAGCAGACAGAGGACATGTGGGAGGTTTGAGGGACAGGCCTGGAAGCAGCATGTGTCACTCCAGTGCAGAGTCCATTGGCCTGCGCCGGCTCCAATGGCTACCTCTCACTGCAGGGGCAGCGGGGAAATACAGCCTGGCTGTCTACCCAGGAGGAAGAGTAGCCAGTTTCTGCCACAGTGATAAGGTTAGAAAATGTTCAGTCGGGTGTGGAGTGATTATTTCTCCTGTGTACACAGCAGGTGGAGAGGGGAAGGTGCCCTAGATATTGGACAAGAAAACTAAAGTCATTGGAAGTTTGTCTTTTGCTCTAAACTTAAGGCCTTGGCTCTCTCATTTGTAAATCAGGCTCTTGGTGAATTTGGTTAGCATGAATTCATTCTCCAGCACCAACTTACTCCAAAGTGAGCTAGACTTGATGAGCTTCTCCAGACTAAGCACGAGATCTTCAGCTCATGAGTCTATCACGTGCAGTCTTCTGAGTCCCAGCTGCATCCCCCAGCTCACCTTCTTCATTTCTTGGTATGAAAATAAATCTGATTAGAGAGTCCACTGAAAACAACGTCCTCCACAGTAGCAGCTTCAGTTGGAAGAGATCTTTGTACACATCTAGTCTGATCCCTGCCCCATTAGAGGTCCCATAAGTGATGATCTAAGCCAGCAGTGAGCTTATCACCTCAAAATTTATTCTCTTTGGGATAGATCTAATTGTGAAAATCTGTTTTTCTTTATATACTGAGCTGAAATTTTTCAGTTTGTAAGTTCATTTCTCTAGAGCTACACAGGGTAAATGTACTTCAGCCACAGGAAAACCTTTTGAAACATTACACTTGCAGGAATTATAAACAAAATGTAAACATTCCTTACAATGAATTTCTCCTTTTCTTAACCATGTAAGGACTGTTCAATTTAAGACAAGAATATGATTGAGTGACTTTTGTATTGTAGGCAGAGGAATGAGGCTGACTGGAACAAGAGCTGAGCTTGTCTTTTAATCTTCTATTACACGGTGACTATCAGGAGCTGTGAAGGTTCTGAAATTTGACCTTATTTGCAAAGTTAACAAGTGAGTCTGCCATAGTTTCAGGATGCTGGCAGAAGATGTGAGATTCCTGGGTTAGAGATAAAGGGTGGTTAATTACTCATAGCAATAGCAGTAGCCTGAGCACCATCATTTTCTTGTGCTGGTTCCCCAAGTCCCAATTCATGGGAGACAAGCAGAGCCAGGTGACAACTCCATATACAGGGTGTGTTACAGGAGAGGAGCCCTGAGTTTAGGAAACCCCAATCTTTTATTATGGGCCATAAGTAAACCTGCTGAGCTTTGCCTAGGGGAAAACATGATCTTTATTGTACCGAACAGCAAACAAACCAGTCATTTCCTCCGGAGGGAGACACTACCTCTGTTTTCCAAGGCTGATCTCATGCAAACATCCTTGAAAAGATTATCCAGAGCAAAGACAGCCAGCTCTGCTGCTTGTAATATGTGCAGAAACAAGAGGCCCCTGGAGAAATGTCTCCCATTAGCATTCACGTTTGACTTCATTTCAACTCTTTCATAAAATATGCAAATCACCTAAACCTGTGCACTTATTTTTCTAAACCTCCCACCAAACCAAAATTCCATGCTAAAAGATACAGGAGCTATTACAGAAAAAGGAAAAGGGAAGGTGGGAGCTACATTATCTCATTATTTCCCTACTCAATTTTATTTACAAGTTTCTCTATTCTTTTCATTCACATCCAAGAGAGTGCTTTTCCTCCAAATAATGCAGATAGAAGAAACTGATTGGTAGCAATGCATGAATTCAACTGAAACTTTATATAGATTATATAAAAACTGGAAGCTTTGGTGGAGGGATCATGACAGACGAGAGGCAGGACTAGATTGCAGCTCCAAACAGAGCAGCATGCGAAGGCTTGCATTGTGAATTTTAGCTCCAGATTGACTGCAAGAACAGACTAGCAATCCTGAGAGGACCCACAGACCCTCTGAAAGAAGCAGACTGCTCCTGTAGGACCCAGGAGACCCTCAAATACTGTGAGTGCCCCAATGTGGAAGTGGGAAAGGGAGACCCTCCTCTCCCGAACACACACCCCTCACTGGAGAAGTTTCTGACTTTACCTGGAGGTGAGTCAAGTTAGAGAGCTGAGCCAAGCAAAATACAAGGGTAGAGGAAGCAGCAGAAAGGCGCTGGGAGCTCGCTGGATACCCAAGCAGCCCATTCCTGCCTGGTACCACAGGGATCCATCAGGAGGGTGGCAGAGGAGCAGGAGATAAAACTCCATAGGAAGGAGGACTTCTCTAGCTGAACTTTGTTACAATTTGCACGGGGCAAGAAGCCTCCTGGCCAGAACTCGGGGAAGGGCGTGAATCCGGCTTGCAGACTTCACAGACGGGGGAAGAACTAAAGCCCTTTTCTTTGGCAGCTGGGAGGTGGAAAGCCTGGGGCAAGTTTTCAAGTCCGACTTGCCCTCCACCCGGAAACAGACTCAGGGCTGTTCGTGGTGGGGCATGGTGGGAGTGAGACCAACCCTTCAGTTTGTTCTAGGGCCCCTGCCCACCACTGGTCCCTTGCCACACTAGTACAGCTGATGCTTTCTGGAAAATGCCACCTCTTGGCAGAAGGCCAACCATCACAAAAATAGAGTATTAAATCCCCAAAGCTAAGGTCCTTCACAGAGTCCACTGCACCCTCCGCCACCTCCACTGAAACAGGCGCTGGTATCCACGGCTGAGAAACCCATACATGGTTCACATCACAGGACTCTGTGCAGACAACCCCCAGTGCCAGCCCGGAGCTGGGTAGACTCACTGAGTGGCTAGACCCAGAAGAGAGGAAACAATCACTGCAGTTCAGCTCACAGGAAGCCACATCCACAGGAAAAGAGGGAGAGTACTACATCAAGGGAACACCCTGTGGGACAAAAAAGTCTGAACAATAACCATCAGCCCTAGACTTTCCCTCTGACACAGGCTACCCAAATGAGAAGGAACCAGAAAAACAACCCTGGTAATATGAAAAAACAAGGCTGATCAACCCCCCTCCAAAATTCCCACTAGTTCAGCAGCAATGGATCCAAACCAAGAAGAAATCCCTGATTTACCTGAAAAAGAATTCAGGAAGTTAGTTATTAAGCTAATCAAGGAGAGACCAGAGAAAGGCGAAGGCCAATGTAAGGAAATCCAAAAAATGATACAAGAAGTGAAGGGAGAAATATTCAAGGAAATAGATAGCTTAAAGAAAAAACAATAAAAAAAATTCAGGAAACTTTGGACACACTTTTAGAAATGCAAAATGCTCTGGAACATCTCAGCAATAGAATTGAACAAGTAGAAGAAAGAAATTCAGAGCTCGAAGACAAGGTATTTAAATTAACCCAATCCATCAAAGACAAAGAAATAGAATAAGTAAATATGAACAAAGCCTCCAAGACCGCCTGGTATTATGTTAAATGACCAAACCTAAGAATAATCAGTGTTCCTGAGGAAGAAGACAATTTTAAATGCTTGGGAAACATATTTGAGGGAATAATTGAGGAAAACTTCCCTGGCCTTTCTAGAGACCTAGACATGCAAATACAAGAAGCACAAATTTGGGAAATTCATTGCAAAAAGATCTTCACCTAACCACATTGTCATCAGGTTACCCAAAGTTAAGATGAAGGAAAGAATCTTAAGAGCTATGAGACAGAAGCACCAGGTAACCTAATCTATAAAGGAAAGCCTATCAGATTAACAGCAGATTTTTCAGCAGAAACCCTATAAGCTAAAAGGGATTGAGGCCCTATCTTCAGCCTCCCCAAACAATTATCAGCCAAGAATTTTGTATCCAGTGAAACTAAGCATCATACGTCAAGGAAAGATACAGTCGTTTTCAGACAAACAAATGCTGAGAGAATTTGTCCTTACCAAGCCATCACTACAAGAACTGCTAAAAGGAGCTCTAAATCTTGAAACAAATCCTGGAAACACATCAAAACAGAACCTCTTTAAAGCATAAATCACAAAGGCCCTATAAAACAAAAATACAAGTTAAAAAGCAAAAACAAAAAAACAAAAATAAACAAAGTAGGCAGGCAACAAAGAGCACGATGAATGCAACAGTACCTCACATTTCAATACTAACATTGAATGGAAATGGCCTAAATGCTCCACTTAAAAGATACAGAACCACAGAATGCATAAAAACTCACCAACCAACTACCTGCTGCCTTCAGGAGACTCATCTAACACGAGGACTCACATAAACTTAAAGTAAAGGCGTGGAAAAATGCATTTCATGCAAATGGACACCAAAAGCAAGCAGGGGTTGCTATTCTTATATCAGACAAAACAAACTTTAAAGCAACAGCAGTTAAAGGAGACAAAGAGGGACATTATATAATGGTAAAAGGCCTTGTCCAATAGGAAAATATCACAATCCTAAACATATATGAACCTAACACTGGAGCTCCCAAATTTATTAAACAATTACAAACAGACCTAAGAAATGAGATAAACAGCAACACAATAATAGTGGGGGACTTCAATACTCCACTGACAGCAGTAGACAGGTCATCAAGACAGAAAATCAACAAAGAAACAATGGATTTAAACTGTATCTTGGAACAAATGGACTTAACAGATCTATACATAACATTTCATCCAACGACCACAGAATACACATTCTATTCAACAGCAATGGAACTTTTTCCAAGATAGACCATATGATAGGTCATAAAATGAGCCTCAATAAATTTAAGAAAATTGAAATTATATCAAGCACTCTCTCAGATCACAGTGGAATAAAACTGGAAATCAACCCCAAAAGGTACCTTTGAAACCACGTAAATACATGGCAATTAAATAACCTACTCCTCAATGAACATTGGGTCAAAAATGAAAACAAGATGGAAATTTAAAAATTCTTCGAACTAAATAACAATAATGACACAACCTATCAAAAGCTCTGGGATACAGCTAAGGCGGTGCTAAGAGGAAAGTTCACAGCCCTAAATGCCTACATCAAAAAGCCCGAAAGAGCACAAACAGACGATCTAAGGTTACACGTCAAGGAACTAGAGAAACAAGGACAAACCAAACCCAAACCCAGAAGAAGAAAGGAAATAACCAAGATCATACCAGAACTAAATGAAATTGAAATAAACAACAACAACAAAAAATATCTCTACTTTGATGATTTTTTTTTTTTTTTTCTGAGATGGAGTCTTGCTCTGTCACCCAGGCTGGGGTGCAGTGGTGCGATCTCGGCTCACTGCAAGCTCCGCCTCCCGGGTTCACGCCATTCTCCTGACTCAGCCTCCTGAGTAGCTGGGACTACAGGCGCCCGCCACCACGCCTGGCCTCCTTTGATGATTTTAGGTCGTATCCCTGGGCTATGGATTCCTGTTAATCTGCCCGAGGCTTGGGCTGCCACACCTGCTTTGCATTTTGTGAAACTTCTTCTAACTTAGCTTACTCATCACGTCCATAGAGCCTTAGGCATGATAATTTTTGCTACTGTTTCCTTGGTCACACTAATGTCTTCTGTTGTGATGTCCTATGTAGCTTTGCATATTGCTATTCAAACAGCTCAGTATGTGGAGAACTGGACACACACAGCCAACCAAGCGTGGCTACTTCAGAATGGAATTAACACTGAGCTACAAACTGAAGTGGCAGTGTTGAAATCCATGGTTCTATGGTTAAGGGAACAAGCACAAAGCTTGCAGTTGCAGCAGCAATTGCATTGTCCTTTTAATCACACTCATATTTGTGTAACCAACTTAGAATACAACCGAAGTGAGTATCCGTGGGACCTTGTGAAAGCCCATTTGCAGGGAGCTTTCACATCCAACGTCACCTTTGATATTGGTGAATTACAAAACAACATTATTAATTTAAATGGGCAAACATAAGACTTTCAGCCTTCTTTAGAAGACTGGACCGAATTCCAGCAAGGCCTGGAGAGCCTCAACCCTTGGACCTATCTAAGGCACCACATTAACATCTTATATGTAGGTCCTGGAATAATGTTTTGTCTCTGTCTTCTGTTCATAGTCTGTAAAATCAGATGGACCATCAATCGGAAAATGAGAGCTGCCCAGTCTGGCCTTACATTCTTTCAATTAATACATAAACACAAAGGTGAGATGTTGGGAGCCAAAAAGGCCAAAGTGATTGTGACCAACTCACCATTCCACTGGAGGCTATATGATCAAACAGCAAACTGTTTATCATGAATGCAGGATGTGAGCAAACTCACATTGTGCCCGCTGCCAAAAGGTTTGCTGAGGGCCTCACTCCCTGGTGCCGGGCTCCTTGAAGTTATCTACTGGGAAATCTAGCACCTATTGTTCAAAGAATGCAGTCTTGCAAGCCTGCTGTGAATCTAACCGCCAGCTGAAAACCAGCCCCCGACTTCTCGCTATCTCTTTTGTCTAATAAATATGGAGGGCTGTGTAAAGCTCAGGGCTCTTGTCCACTAGAGGCAAGGTGCCCCCTGACTCCTTCTTCTAAACATATTCTTTCGTCTTTGTCTTTTATTCCTGCATTCGCCCCCATTTGTTCAGTTCCCCCAAGGTCTGGGCAGGTTACAAATCGCCACTAAAGAACTTACTCATGTAACCAAATACCACCTGTACCCCAATAACTTATGGTAAAATAAAATAAAATAATAAAAATTGAAAAAAAAACTAGAAGTTTTATATGACAAAAGATAAAATGAAGGACTGCATTAGAAGTCAGGTGAGAGACTTGGATAAAACATTTGCGACTTTTTAAATAGACCAAAGATTAATATCCAGGCTATTGCTCCTAACTGTCCCCCATCTGCAAAAAAATACCGACAAGCCCATAGAAAAAGGACAGAGAATCTGAATTAGTAATTCCTAAAAAGGGAAATGGAATGGGCTGATAATCTTTGAAGACGTGTTTAACCTCAAGCATTCAGCAGGTAGAAGCACATTTAGGGAATGAGATAGCCTCAATATATTGGTAAAAATGTAAAAGGCTGATAATAGCTGGCCTTGGTGAGGTTAGAAATAAGCACTTTCAATGTGAGGGATGGTAATATAAATTGACACAACCTTTTTGGAGGTCAGCTTCTTAGTTGAATCTCATGAGAATGCTACTTTAATATTTCTGGTAATAGTAAAATATTGGAAATAATGTAAGTAGCCATCAATAGGTAGATAGTTAAATAGACTATGATATGTCCATATTATAAAATATAGCTATACAGCTATTTTTCTTTTTTTCTTACATTTCCTCTGACCAGCTTTAAAATATATATGTAAATTCCCTTTATAATTTATTTTATTACAATTTATTTTTTTTTTTAGAGACAAGGTCTCGCTCTGTTGCCCAGACTGAAGTACAGTGACCTAATCATAGCTCACTGTCACCTCAAACTCCTGGTCTCAAACTGCCTTCCCACCTCAGCCTCTAAAATAGCTGGGATTACAGGTGCTCACCACCATGTCTGGATAATATTTTTATTTTTTTGTAGAGTTGGGGGAGTCTCACAATGTTGCCCAGGCTGGTTTCAAACTCCTGGCTTCAAACAATTCTCTCACCTCAGCCTCCCAAAGCACTGAGATTATATTAAATAGGTGTGAGCCACCACACCTAGCCTATGCAGCTTTAAAAAGAATGGAGAGTCTATTTATAGATTTTAAAATATCCCCAAGAAATGATACTAATTAATAAAATGAAGTTGCCAAGCAATACTTGTAGTATGATCTTATTTTTTCTTAAGAAATCCAAAACATATTTTTTTTTTGAGAGACTCTGTCGCCCAGGCTGGAGTACAGTGGCACAATCTCGGCTCACTGCAAGCTCCGCCTCCCAGGTTCATGCCATTCTCCTGCCTCAGTCTCCTGAGTAGCTGGGACTACAGGCGCCCACCACCATGCCTGGCTAATTTTTTGTATTTTTAGTAGAGACGGGGTTTCACTGTGTTAGCCAGGATGGCCTCGATCTCCTGACCTCGTGATCTGCCCGCCTCGGCCTCCCAAAGTGCTGGGATTACAGGCGTGAGCCACCGTGCCCGGCCTAAGAAATCCAAAACATATTTCTACATGTAAATGCCAAGGTATGTACACACATATAACAGGCACAGAAGATTACACACCAGCCGCCAATGTTCACTAGCTCTGAGGAGGAGTGTAACAAGCCCCTCAGGGACCAGCGGTGTAACTCCAGATGAAGAAACAGGTAGAATTTTAGAACAACCACATGGGAGAGAAAAGTAGGATTTTCATGAAATCCTCCCATTTTTGCACAGCACAGAACTAACTGGCTTTCTGAGACTAGGGCTTCCTAATGACAAAGAGAGAGAAACATACTGAAATCAAGAAAGAGATCAAAGATGATTAAGAGAACACAGTAATTCTGGAGATTGAAGAAGCCAGCATACATATTATAGAGATGCTCTAGATTCTCGGTGACCTGGGAATTAAGGTGTCACAAAACACCTGCTCAAGGAAGACTTACCAGAGGTTCCCAAAGTATGGTCCTGGACAGGTGGTGTCATCGCCAGGAAAGTTAGAAATGTTATAATGCAAATTCACAGACCCTGACCCAGACTTATTGAATCAGAAACTTGGGTGTGGGGCCCAGCAAGGTTTTAACGAGCCTTGCAGGGATTTGATGTTCACTTAGGTTTGACAAACACAACTTCAGACGGGTGCTTCTAAAGTTAAACACATGCGAATCACCTGGGAGAGTGTGAAACAGCGCGTTCCGATTCAGCAGGAAAGCCGGGGAGCCTGAGGTTCCGCATTCTCACAAACTCCCAGGTGATCCTGCTGCTGCTGCTTCTCAGCCGCACGCTGAGTCACTTTTGAAAGAAGATGGAGTGAGCATTTAATGACTGGAAGGCTTCACAAGGAAATAGTCCAGGAAAACACAAATAGCAGCATCAGTTTATCTCCACTGGCATTTCGAAGAATAGGAGCAAAAAAAATGCCGCTCTCTTTCAGTGGCGTGTTGCCTGGTGTTCTGTGGATGCTTTCACCAACAGCAATATCTGTGCATGTCTATAACTGAAAGCTGCAAGCATTACTTGCTACCCCTAATTTTTGTTAACCACTTCTCTTTGCAGATGCAGAAGCTGAGGCTAGCACACAGACCTATTTTTGTTCCAATGTCACAGAGGCCTTGGACAGACTGAGTTGGCAAGTCTCCTGACTGCGTGGCTGGAGCGCTTCTGCAGGGCCCTTGAGGCTGTTTTCGTCAAGCCACAGTGGGAAGTAGTGACAGAGCACATGAGATTGACATTGCTGTGGCTCAGTCATCAAAACTGGACCAGCTCAGTCTCCAGGCTCACTGGTGAATAATAGGAATCTTTGTCGTCCTTTCCATCAGAAAGCATATTACTTAAAACCCCTTGCTAACTCACAGGGTGAGCTGTCCTGTCACACATCATCATATGGAATGGAAACTAGCAACTGAATATAGCAACACTCAGACTGATAACTTGCTCCACGGATAACTTGTTTGTTTACCGACTCTGGGGATGGAGAAAGACACATTACTCAAATAACAAATGCCATTTCCCCTGCACACCCTGGAAAGAGTGCTGCACCTGCAGCCTGTGGTTTAACTGTAGCAATGCAGGTGAGCAACTCAAGTGCATTTCTGTGATGGCAAACAGCAAGGTGGGCATAGTGAGTAGTGAGTTTCCTGGCTTATGGGGAGCAATCAGAATTATGGCCTGAATGCAACACTCAGCAAACTCAGACTGAGATGTTTACAGGCCAGCCCAGCCCAGGAGGAGGAAGGGGCTTTTATTCCTAAATCAAGAAGTGTCCAGAAAAAGGGAAATAAGGCTTAGGTGTGTTATGCTGAATTTTGGGCACCTGTCCCCACCAATAACTTGGCATCCTGAAAATGCTACAGCAGGACTCCAAGGGCCAAGAATGCCTGTTCTCTACACAGCTGAGGGATGGCCAGTGGCCTCATTGCAGAGCTGCCACTCAAAAACTGAAAGATGCCAAAAGGGAAGAGCTTGCTCCATGGATAACTTGTTTGTTTACCGACTCTGGGGATGGAGAGAGACACATTACTCAAATAACAAATGCCATTTCCCCTGCACACCCTGGAAAGAGTGCTGCACCTGCAGCCTGTGGTTTAACTGTAGCAATGCAGGTGAGCAACTCAAGTGCATTTCTGTGATGGCAAACAGCAAGGTGGGCATAGTGAGTAGTGAGTTTCCTGGCTTATGGGGAGCAATCAGAATTATGGCCTGAATGCATTGGCACAACTCTGCCTGCAGTCCAGGAAGCTTTTCTGTTGTAAAGGTCTCCTTTCTAGACCACCTTTGAAGTCATAAATTAGCTGAAGTGGAGTTGGTGTGCACTTGCTGGATCTGGTGGTGTGTGCTTGGATGCCTAAACAAGAGGAGTTGCCACTACTCATTTTAGCCAAAGACTCAGCCAGAATCCTATGCTTTAGTGGGACTGGGAATGTGATGGTGAGAGGGAGGTAAGAGGATGAGTCTTGCACAAGCTAGACTCATTAGTCACATCTTTCCCAACCTTTGATGTGCCTGGTAAATGATGTCCGCCCAAGTGCTGTGAGGGCTTGTCTTCAACAGGAGCCCAGATCTGCTGCTGCAGGAGGGGAGATGAGGAGCCTTGCAGCCCTAAGGGAAGGTGCTGAATACCACTCTCTCTCTCTCTCTCTCTCTCTCTCTCTCTCTCTCTCTCTCTGTGTGTGTGTGTGTGTGTGTGTGTGTGTGTGTGTGTGAAAGCACCCACTGTTCAGATTCAGATAAACACGTTTCAGCTCTAGCACACCCACGAGTACCTGTTCTCCTCCCTTGCACAACAGCAGCTTACAGAACAGAGAACAAAACTTGAACTGTCATAAACTGTGCTCTGAGGGGAGGAAAAGGCTGGCTGACAGTGGGAGCTACTCCTGCTCAGAAATGAAGGGGAGGGACTCTGTTTTCTTCTGAATATAAAACCCTAGTGAATTTCCAATAATGCTGGGTGATGACAGGAAGGCATCAAAGCCCTAAAGGCTGGTAACCGAGCTGCCAAGCCAGGCTCTCCACATGCCGACATTAAGAGCAGTGGCAAGGCATTAGCATCTATCCTGCCCCTGCCAGGCCCTGTCTTTATCTCCACTTTCCTCCCTTCCCTTTTTCTGCTGCTTCCTCTTCTCTCTTGTTTCCTCTCCCCTTTCTAGACCTAAAAGCAAAGAGTGTCACCCTCCAGATGTCCCTTGGCTACACCGTGGCCCTGGGTTAAGGAGGTAACTGGTTCTCCACAGCTCACAAGAAATGGGCCAGGGCCAACACGCATGTGGCCTTGAGCCTAATGCCAGCCTGACCACTGTGCGGGTTGTTGTCTATTTTCAGTGCCTGGATTCTCCTCTAAAGATGAGGATAATGGTCCCTCCCTCCCACACCTTCACAAGGATGATTCCAAGGACAAGCAAGATTGTTCTTCAGAGCACGCCTCAGAGGAAGGGCATGGTGTGAGTGCTGGGCATTGTTAGGATTGTTCGTTTACCTTCCAGGGTCCCTCGCTGGAAGTGACAGGGGTGTGCACTTACAAAATCATTCTTGACCCAAAGTACCTCTTTTAAAGATGCTTGCCTTTAAAAGAAGACAAGTAGTTTTTGCTCCCATGATATCTCAAGTGGCACTTAGATTGCCGGGGGCCTGTTGTCCAGTAAGTAATGTCACCTAGCGGGATTATGACTGGTTTGGAGTCTGGGTCTGAGAACTGGGGTAAACCACTTCTTCATGTCTTAGTCCCCTCATGCATAAAACAGAGGGATCGCACAGGGTGATCACTAAAGGACCTTCCAATGTTAAGATTTAAAGGGTAAACGGCTCTTTGATAAAGACAGATCATAGAAAAGTAAGAACCACACAGCTTAACCTTCCAGGGGACAATTAAGATGCTTTAATGTGAAGTGAATGACGATGTGGTAGAGTATGATGTGAATGTAATAGCATAGGAAGGCCGGAGGGCATGGGGGCCTCTCAACCTCATACTCTGTACTAGATGCGGCATCTGGAGCATCTCAAGAGGGGCTAAGAGATTCAGTCCTCACCCCAGCTCTGAAGATGTCTCAACTGTGAAAAAGAGACAGGGAGTCCCTGACTCTCTGTCTGCTCCTTCACTGGTTACTCCCATGTTGGAAGGCAGGGGAGGAGGAAGGCCCCAGCATCTTCCATCACTGCTGCAGACACCAACCAACCCTCCTTCCTCCCACTCCTCTGCTTCAACTCTCACCTGAGTCCCCACCCCAAACAGCCCTCTGCTAGCCATTAGGTGTTAGCTGCACTTCACCTGCAAAAGGCCTTCCTTTGCCAGTTTTTGTCAAAAATGTTAGCATAGTGTTTGCATAAATTTGCAGGTTTGATTCAAGAAGCCCTGATTCCAATAGTGTAGGAGAAAATACACTGACTGCACCTGGAGTCAAGGAGGCTTTCAGGAGGGCACACTTGATTCACCACACAGGGCTCGAAGAGGCACTCAGTATGTGAGGCTGGGATGCCCAGACAGAAGCTTCCCCCACGATCCAGGAAATCAAAACGTTTTCAATGTTGGCTTGAAATCATGGCTAATAGGAATAAAAAAGCTCTTCTCACCCTGGGGAAGACTGGGGAGGTAGGGAGGGGAAGAGTTCCCAACTATTCCATCCAAGAGGGGGCAAGGAAGGACAGTGGCAAGCCCAAGTCTGGAGCTATTTCCTCCCAATAGTGAATGTCTGGTAACTTTACCCAGAAGTTCTGATTTTTCTCGTTAGTCAAACAGGACTCTGACTTCCAAGATTAGGCTAAATCCAGAGCAGTTTGGGGAATGAAGGAATCTGGCTGAACAATGGAAGTTGGAATCATTGCCCTACCATCAGCAACTCCTTAACAGAAACAAACTCCTCTGCCCACTCGTCATATCCACAAACTATTTTCATAGAAGAGAATGTCCCAGCTAGAAATGCAAGTGGACGAGTGCCAACCCAATGAGGCTAATGATTTGCAAGTGGAGACCTCTGAGCAACTTGGTAAAGAAAGCAGGGCTTGGCCTTCGCCCGGGAGGCTTGGGACCCCTGACCACCCCCTACCCCATCACCAATAAACCTCTCAGAAGGAGGAATTCTGTGACAGCCCTCAGAAGAGAGTGGCTATCCACTGGCCACAGCGATGACTAAAGCGAGGTTCATGCCACAGAAGAACACAAAGGTCACCAAAGCTGTCTAAAGCAGACACTGAATTTATTATTCGCCGAAGAAGGGGAGACACTCATTTCGTTAAGAAAGGTCAGAACAGCTCTCCAAACTGAAGGTGAATAGGACAGATACACTGTGGAAAAGAGGACATTTTGTTCAAAGGTCTGATTGGCTCAAAAAGCAAGTTGTAAACTCTCTTCTGGGACTGACTGCTTTTCTGACTTTGTGTCACAGAGGCATGAGAACAGCTCGTGGGAGATTCTGGATGGATCTGACCTGTGGTGCACGGCCCTGGCAGCCTGGTGTCTGTGCCTCCTCTCGAGGTGAGATTTTTCTCTGGCACCCACTTGGGTTAAGGTGAGGAACCCTGGAGCCCATGGGCCTGCTGCATGGCTCTGCACCCATCACCCGGCTCTCTGATCCTCACTGCCTAGGATGGAGAGATATGCAGCCCTCCTGGCTGCAGGTATGAGGAAACCACATGAAAGCTGTTCCAGAAATTTGTTGGCATGTGGCCATCATATCTTCTAACCAGGAAAACTGAGTCACAGAGCTCCAAGCCCCAGTAAGTTGGAGGATACATTACTAAAATGCTCCTGAATAGGCAAAAAATAAAAAAAAATTAAAAAAATAAAGAAAAGAAAAAGAAAAAAAAAGGCAAACTGGAAAGAGCTAACCCCAAATTAATCATGTCTAAATCCCAGTGGTAGGTTTGCAGGAGATTTCTAACTTCTCTTCTGTATTGATTTTCTGTATTAATCTTTTCTGTGTTGGTGTTCTGTATTCTCCAAATTCTTTACTATGTGTGGTTTTGAAATCATATTTTTTTAAAATTTGATTTTTAAAGGATGAGCTCCAGGTCAAGGTTGCTATTAAGTCAAAGGTATGCATAGTTCTGGCACAGTGACTCAAGCCTGCAATCTCAGAACTTTGGGAAGCTGAGGCAGGCAGATCGCTGGAGGCCAGGAGTTTGAGACCAGCCTGGGCAACATAGAGAGACTCCATTTCTACTAAAAACTTAAAAAGTTAGCTGGGCATGGTGGCATGCATGTGCAGCCCTAGCTACTCAGGAGACTGAGGCAGGAGGATTGCTGGAGCCTGGGAGTTTGAGGTTACAGTGAACTATGATCCCTCTACTGTATTCCAGCCTGGGTGACAGAGGGAGATCTTGTCTCTATTGAAAAATGATAATAAAAAAAAAGATCTGTGCTCAGCAAAGTCAGGATATTATCCCAGAATCGGAGTTGAGAATTCAGAGCTGGTGGCTACGTCTGGCAGCCCTATGCTGGCTAGAGCCCAGGGCTCCATCTCCAGCATCCCAGTCCAATTACCCTCTTCCTCCTTAGCAATGAGTAATACACCACCTCTTGAAGCCGCAGGCTGGTGTCTCCTCCTTGACAATTTCTTGTGCTTGCTGTTCTCCGCCTTGTTACCCAGTGGCCCTGTGCCACATCAAGGACTTAGGCTTTCTATTTCCTCCTAGGACCCTCCCTGAGTCCCCTCAGCCTCTTCACTTGCTTCTCCATGGCCCATCCCATCAGTTACTTCAGCAATCCCTCATCCCCTTGACCTCACCGTCTGCCCCTGGGGACAATCACAGGAGGACTCCCCTTGACTCAGTCCAGCTGCCACCTTCTCTGTCCTGTGTGGGGCGGCTGAGCGCTGCTGAGACCACATGGCCTCATGGATCTAGACGGGTATGAGCTCCTGGCCTCTGCTTCGTCCTTGGTGCTGCCCGTAAGTCCTGTGGTCTCTGGCCAGCTTTATGTCCTACTCCCCCAATGGCTATGACAGACCCTCGCCGGTCTCCTGAAGCTTTCTTTCCTACTGACTCGCCCCTCGCCAGCCCCAGCTCCCAGCGACCTTGCCCTCTGCTTCAAGGAAGATGAAAAGTTTCTTATGTGGGAGGAATGTTTGCACTTTCTAGACTCCCTCTGCAGAGACCCTCTTCCTGGCAACCTCTCCTTCTACAGCCATGGGCGGTGCTGACCAGGAGAGGAGCCACTGGGAGTCCTGCAGAAGGCCTCCTGGCAGCCACGGCCTCCCCACTGTCCCCAGCAGCAGCAGTGCATCTTCAGGCAGCTCTGACTGCTGGACCCTGCAGACTCAGACCCCCACCCCTCTGCAGCAGGAAGTTTACTGCTTCTGGGAACCCACAGGATGTGAGAGAAAACAACTCCATGGGGCTGGGAGCCTTGGGTTTGAAAGTTGGACCTGGCACCCACTGGCTTCACTTTCTTGAGAGTAGAGTGGAAGGCAATCCCGCCCAACCTCCCACACACCATGACAAGTGCCCGTGGGTAATAAATGGAAAAGTGCTTTGTAAAATGCTCCCCCTATGTGAAGGATTTATGCTATAAATCCTTAGAATGACTCATCTGAGCTCTTAACCTACTTTCTTAGCCCTTAAATGTTTGCTTTTCAACAGGGATTCCTGAGCCCTGGCTTGTTCTTGAATTTGCAGGAGCCACAGACCCTTCACCCCATGCCAACTGACCAGAGGCCTGATGCTCCTGCCCTCTTCTCTCCCTGCCACTCCAACCAGAAGACCTCTGGCCAGTTGCCATCCAGGGACCTGGCATGACCTCCCCAGCCTTTGAGGCAGTGATCTGGATGCCCAGAGAGTCAAATACAGAGAACCAGGGACTGGCACCCCAGCTGTGGGTTCTCAGAGTGGGCTCATGTGAAGGAGTGAGAAACAAGGAGCACAGGAACCTCTCTCTGGCAGCCCACCCCTCTGTGCCCACGGAACCCGCTACTGAGGGCTCAGCATGAGGACTGTGTGCAGCCTCTCCTGAGACCCTCACTCACCAGGTACTTGCAGATTTCCTCCAGGACCTACATGCATGTGGTCGCTGAGCGTGGCACGCAGCAATGGCTGGATGAGTGAGGACCAGCCAATCATGTCAGCCCACACCGCCAGAGCCTTTCCCCAGGCCTATGGGATGGAGAGAAGGGAGGCCTCAACCTCACTCCTGTGACTCTCCAGCCAAGGGGCTGAGTGGAAGCCCTTCCGTCATAAAGAGAGGGCAGATATGTTCAGAGCCACCCAGAGGACAATGTCAAAGAGGTGAATGTAGAGCCTACAGGCAAGGCTGGGCTCATGGAAATGGCCACAGGGAAGGGGCCCTGCTCTCAAGGAAAGGGGACACATATCAGGCCTGGCAGTGGCCAGACAAGTGACAGCCAGTGTACCTGGAGCACTTCCATGTTATTTTCCTGAATGCTGAGCACCAATGATATCAGAAGTGTGAAAAAATTTTGGGGGGTGATGCCTCCAGGCTTACATGTTTTTAGTTGCTGCAGCATGTGGCCCACAGCAGAGGTGGCTGAGATCCTCACCTTCTCCTGCTCCTGCCAGGAAGCGCAAAGTGGAGATGAGAGGCAGTGGCTTCCCTGGCCCTGCCTGGCCTGGCTTCCGTCCTTCCACATCTTGGTCTCTGTGTGCAAGGGGCCCCAGCTGTACTGTGCTTAGCTGATGCATAGACAACATGATGTGTGTATGTGAGGGGTTCTCTCTAGAGACCAAGAGCTAAGAAGCCCGTTGATGAAGGCACAGTGCTAGGAAATAAGGTCATCGTTTCAGTTCTACCGTGGACTATATCCGCAGCTTGTGACATTGTTTCCAAAGTGTTCAAGCAATTCTCCTGGCTCAGCCTCCTGAGTAGCTGGGATTATAGGCACCTGCCACCACACCTGGCTAATTTTTGTATTTTTAGTGGAGACAGGGTTTCACCATGTTGGTCAGGCTTGTCTCAAACCCCTGACCTCAAGTGATCTGCCTCCCAAAGTGTTCTGATTACAGGTATGAGCCACAGCGCCCAGCCCTGCACACCTTTAGACCAAGTATTCATGTCATCTACCTGCCTGTCCATCCACACACTTGGGTACTTACCTTCCTGACACTGGCTTAATCTGCTATTTTATTTTCTTGGCTACCTACTACCTATGAGTAGGTTTCCTTGCCTTCCCTTGGCACGCATGTCTTCTGACCTAGACCTCTGAGGTACCAGGGAATTTCCAAAGTTGCTTCCACAACTTCTTCCCACCTTCCTGATGGTTTACTCACAGCTTCAGAAGAAGCTCTGTGCTCCAGAAACTGGTCCCCACCCTCACCCTGACATATAAGCCAGAGACTTCACAGACTAAGAACAGGTCCCTTCCTCTTCTCCTCTTGTCCTCTTGCACCCTCTAGAGAGCTCTTTCCCTCCATCACTGGGAAGGTGTATGTTGGACGGGGTGGGAGGTTGAGGTAAGTGAGTCCCTGCCCTCCTGATAGGAGAGAATCACTTAATGACCAAAGCTCATTCGCAGATGCCTGGGGACTTTTCTTGGGGATGAGCCTTGGAACCTTCTCTTTCCAAAAGCCACAAGGAGAACTGGAGGAGATTTGTACCTTGGTCCTAATGACTGTGAGGTAGAACAACCCACAAAGGGTCATCAGGAAGCTGTGGGTTAAATCACATCTCTACAAACTGCCTCCAAGGAGCTTCCAGGTGGCAGTGGAGAAACATATCACCTGCCAGGGTACAGATGCCTGAGATGGAAGCATTAGTTTGATCAGAGAACAAGGGCAGCAGTGGGTGGGAGTGCTCTATGGATTCTTCATTCTCCTAATTCTTCTCACTGGACAGCACCACTTATGGGCCTGGTGTGGTGGCTCACGCCTGTAATCATAGCACTTTGGGAGGCTGAGGTGGGAGGATCACTTGAGCCAGGGAGGTCTATGCTGCAGTGAGCCATGATTGCGCCACTGCACTGCAGCCTGGGGGACAGAGTGAGACCCTGTCTCAAAAATAAAAAGGAGATTATGCAGAGGGTCTGAAACGAAAAAGTTTAGCTCTAGAGGTAGACAATAGAGCATGGCAATTGGAAGACTGAATGTGCTGAGCCACCCTGTACACAAGTCCCTATAAAAATCAGAAGATGTCATGGCAGGTGTGCCCAAGGACGTGTAGTTTTCTCCTCACGAAAAGAATGTCTTAAGCACTGTAAAGAGGTCAGTGCAGGGGTGAACAACACCAATTTAAGCATTGACATGTGTTGGGGTTTGTGACGGCTGTGAGAGATGCAACCATGACTGGAATTCCTCACTATTCCCAGAAAGCTAGTGTGTAGAAGGAGAGGATACAGCTGAGATTTGGAATGACATGTGGTAGGGAGAAGGGGGATGTATGCACGGGTACAGGAGGTCAGTGGGGAGGGGCTTGGGTTAGAGGTGAGGCAAGGGACAAGGGAGGCTTCTTGAGAAAGGGATGTCTGCACTGCATTTTGAAGAATGAGTGGGAATTTGGAGACTGAGTGTGAGAGGCACTGCAGGCAGTGAAGAACCTGCATAACATCCTCTGCCATATGCAGGGCAGGGACACCAAGCCACTCTTCTGCAGTATTGCCAGGCAGCTGCATCCACTGATTAATGATGTATGTGCCCAGGTCCCTAGGATCAGTTGGACACAATATGGGCTTAGCTTAGGATACTGGGTTAGGGCAAGGCACCGTGGTGCGAGGCCTAGGTCACCAAGGGACAGAAGAAAGGAGACTTGGCTACTTGAAGCTGAGCATAGGACATGTCCCAAATGCATTACTTACTCCATGCAATGGAGCACACACTCCTCCACTGACTCACCAGAATTTTCTGGAGGAGCCACTGGTACCCAAATAAGAAACCAACTGACTGATATGAAGATGGTTCTGACTCGAAGGATCTTATTCTGCAGACTCCACTCATGGAGTGAAGCGGGGAGAGAACAAGTGGCTCTACCCCCCTCCCAAATCATACAGAAGCCTTAGGATCCCAGGGTCCTCATGGCAAGAGAAACGTAAGACTCAGAAAGTTGAACTGACCAGACCTGTCCCACTCCTTCTCACATCTCATCTTCCTTGCAGGTGACACAAGTTTAGAGCTGGGAAGGACCTGACATCCCTGAGACACAGGTTTATGGGACTCCAGCTCTGGCATCTATAACTCTCTCAACTTGTGAGCCTTGGATTTCAACTATTTTTGTATTGGTCTCATCTCCTCTATGACTTTGGACACCTGCTGGTGGCAAGGCCAATGTCAGACTCACCTATCTTTCTGTTATGTTTAAAATTTACCATGTGTACTATACTTGACTTAACTAAGTCTGAAGATAATATCTTTTTCCTTCCTCCAAATGATACAATCCATGGATCTTTGAATGCTTGAATTCTGATCACAGCCTCCCACATGATATACTAATGTTGCCCAGTATTAAAATACTGGGCTAAAGCTCCACCTTTGTATTTAACCTGTAAATTTGCTCTTTATGTCATCATCTTCATGACTGTCATGATTTTGTACAGTTAATACTGGTTTAGATCTACCCATATGCTTACAAATTTCTTGGCTTATATTTCTTTCTTCCAGCTCTTTCCTCCCTTTTAGATTTATTTTGTTTTTCCTTCCTTTGTGGTTCCTTCAGTGAGGGTCTCTTAGTAGTAAACATTTTTAGTCTTTGAAAATGTCTTTATTTGGCCTTATATTTGTCTCTGCTTTCAGCAGTCTGTGATGTTTCTAGGCATACATTTCCTTGGTTTTAGTCTGTTTGAGGTTCACTGAGCAACTTTAATCTCTAAATTGATACCTTTCACCAAACTTGGAAAGTTTTTACTATTATTTCTAGAATTGTTGTTCAGCCCCACCATGCTCTTTCTCTTCTTTTAGGACTCTCACGACACAAATGTTACACCTTTTGTTATGGTCTCAGGTCACAAGATACTTTTGGTTTTGAATCATTTTTCTCTCTGTTCAGAGTGGATAATTTTTATTGATCTGTTTTCAAGTTCACTGATTCTTTCCTTTGGCATCTCCATTTTACTATGGAGCCTACCCAAGCTTATATTTTTCAGTTCTAAAGCTTTCCACGGTTTTTCTGTATGTCTTCTATTTCTTTGCTGAGACTATTTCTGTTATTTCAAGAGTGTTCACCGTGGCTTTTTGGAACACTTTGCACAGTAACCGCTTTAAAGTTTTTATTACATAATTCCAATCTCTTTCCCCTTGACTTCAGGGCATGTTCATTTTCTTCCCATGTGAGTTGAAATGTTCCTGGTCCTTTGCATGCTGAGTGATTATGGATTGAATCATAGACATTATGAATATGATATTATGTGACTGTGGGTCTTCCAAGAGTGTCCTGGTAATTTTAGCAGGCAATTGACCTATTTACCTTCAGGCTGCCAATCCTGTCAGCCGTCCGCGGGTTGTGATTCCAATGCCAGTTCTTGGTTCGAAGCCTCTGCTATTGTGCATTTGGGCCACCAGCCAGCCTGGGACCTGGATAGTAGTCCATCCTGTAGTTCAGTTCTCATTGTCTATGACGTGCTGGTCAGGGTCAGACCTGGGTATGTAATGAGCTCGGGAGTTCATAAACACCTTTATAGGATCACTTTCCTCCTCTCTGCCACCTCCCTGGTACTTTACAGTTCCCTGGGGCTCCCCTTCTTCAGTGGCCAGAAAGCTGGGGCTTTTGTTGCTCCACAGTGCCAGGCACTTCTGTGACTGTCCCCACATCTGGTGCTAAGTGGCAAGCGGCAGAGAAGAAATAAAGCAATGGGAATTTTCCTCATCCTCTTGGGCCCACAGTGACTGCAAATGGAGAGGAGGGCTTCCCTCCCTCAGTTTTGTTTTCTGCAGGTTCCCATGGGGCCTGCTTGGAGGCTGAGGCTTGAGAGACCGAGAGAAAAAGAAACGAGGGATTTCTTCACTTCCTTTGAGCATTGTGAAGTGTTTCTGGCTCCTTGGGTGTTACCTAGAGGGATTCTCTCAGAGCTCTCTCTGTATCCCGGTGCATACACCTCCGTTTCTGGTTGTGTGGCTTGCAGGCTGTGGATCCCAGGAGATATTACAACCCATGCCCTGGGGGGTTATTGGGACCAGTGATGCCCTCCAACCCCTAGTAGGTGGAGTGTCAGCAAACTTTTTGTTTTTGGTCCCTAGAGATTTCTCTTACTCTCCTGCAAGCTCAGCTATGCATATATATAATATTTTATCTAGTATATCAAGGTGTTTAGAGTAAGAAGGTTGTTATCTTCCATATTGCTGAATTTGGAAGTCAGGAGCTATAGTCCAAGTGAGAAGTACTAAGTGGCCATCACCTACACAGAGGCCACCTGGGGAAATGGTAAGAGCTGCACCACAGGGCCCCTCAGATGTGGGTGCTGGGTGCTGCTTTGCCATTCACCCAGTCATGTGGAGGGAGGCAGGGCACTGAGGCAAAGCTTACTGGTCTCATCATCTGTGAAACTTTCTTCTACTATTTTGGTTCACATGCCCTCTTTTCTCTTCTGTCTGTTCCATTTTTGGAATTTACTTGGATTTATTCTCTATGTTTCTTAATTTCTCTTCCATATTTCCCATTTCTTTGTCTACTTTGGAAGAATTTCTGGGCTGATTCACTTTTAACGAATTCACCCTTTAGTTGTGGTTATTCTGCTATTCAACCCACCTATTGAATTTTCATTTAACTTTTTGTTTTTCTAATGCAGAAGGTACTCTATATTTTTCTCTTCTGGATGATGTTGTGGTATCTTGATAGTTATTTCATTATTCTGTGGCGATATTGCCTGACCAGTGCCTGTATTGATTTATTTATTGATTTATATATAACTTCAAATTTTGAATTTCTAAGCACTTTAGGAACTGAACTCAATATCTTTTAAGAAAAAGTTTCTGGGGATTCAATAGTACTTTCTCTAAAGTTTTGTTCAGATTTTATTGTTAACTCCATCCTTGGATGGTGGGTTTTCTTTTGGTTTTGCTTGCTTGAAACAGGGTCTGGATCTGTCACCCAGGCTGGACTGCAGTGGCAGGATCATGACTCACGGCGGCCTTAACCTCCCAGGCTCGTGATCCTCCCACCTCAGCCTCCCAGCTGGTACTACAGGCACATGTCACCATGCCTGGCTAATTTTGCATTTTTTTGTAGAGATGGGGATCACCATGTTGCACAGTCTGGTCTTGAACTCCTGGGCTCAAGCAATACTGTGCCTCTGCCTCCAAAAGTGCTGGGATAATAGGTGTGAGCCACTGTGCCCGGCTGGATGCTGGGTGTTGTGTTTCTTGAACGTTTCCTTTCATCTGTAGTGCTGGTTTTCCTAAATGTATATCGATCCTTGGTAGTGACTTCTGGCATTTTTATACTAGAATTTCTTGGCTGGCCCTGTGTGAAAGCAACACCCGTGACTGCAGATGAATCTTTAGGATTCACAGTCAAATGGGTGAACATCCACCAGATCCACGATGAGGATATGCAGCTGATATGGGATGGTGAGTCTGGGCCTTGCACCTGGGTTCTGGGTGACACTAGGGGGCGGGGTGAGAGAGAATGGGGGATGAAGACATTTCTTAAGAACATGGTTCATCATTTTATTTTTACCATTATCAATGTCATATAGAAAAGTGGAAAATGGAGAAAAGTATTTGGAACGAATAAATTATACATTGTCCCACTAGTGAGATAAAAAGACTGCTAATATTTTGGGGATCTCCCCTTCCAGTCCATGAACATTTATAATGTGCTATAGGTGCTTACAGTGAAATGGTGTTCAAGACAGACACATCCCTGCTCTTCATAAACTTGCAGTTTTTTGTTTTTTATTGCACTGAACTCTTCTAACATTAATTTATATTTACAGAAGAAAATGCACAAATACAGTGTCTTTACAAAAGAGTAGAAATGTGACCAACAAGGGTAAAGTTGCACTCACCCCACTCCACCTCGCTCCTCTGCCCTCCTCCCCTGCCTGTTTGCTGTAGAGTCCTGTGTTCTTTGTCTTTATATACATTCTATAAATACACATATACAAATATAATTTTTATTTATTAGTAGTATTTCAATAGTTTTGGGGGAACAGGCTGTTTGCTTAGATGGATACATTCTTTAGTGGTGATTTCTGAGATTTTGGTGCACTCATCACCCAAGCAGTGTACACTGCATTGAATGTATAGTCTTTTATCCCTCACCACCCTCCCACCCCTTCCCAAGTCTCCAGAGTTCAGTGTATCTTTCTTATGCCTTTGCATCCTCATAGCTTAGCTCCCACTTATAAGTGAGAACATATGGTGTTTGGTTTTCCATTCCTGAGTTACTTCACTTAGAATAATGGTCTCCAACTGCATCCAGGTTGCTGCAAATGCCATTATTTTGTTACTTTTTTATGGCTGAGTAGTATTTTATGTTGTGTGTGTGTATATATATATATACACCACAATTCCTTTACTCACTCGTTGGTTGATGGACATTTAGGCTGGTTCCATATTTTTGCAATTGTGAATTGTGCTGCTATAAACACATGTGTGCAAGTGTCTTTTTCATATAATGACTTCTTTTGGGAAGGCAGATACCCAGTAGTGGGATTGCTGGGTCAAACGGTAATTCTACTTTTAGTTCTTTAAGGAACCTCCGTAAGGTTTTCCATCATGGTTGTACTAGTTTACATTTCCACCGGCAGTGTAAAAGTGTTTCCTTTCCACCACATCCACACCAACATCTATTGTTTTTTGATTTTTAAATTTTGGACATTCTTGCAGAAGGAAGGTGGTATCTGTGGTTTTGATTTGCATTTCCCTGATAGTGATATTGAGCATTTTCTCACATGTTTGATGGCCATTTGTACATCTTCTTTTGAGAATTGTCTATTCATGTCCTTAGCCCTCTTTTTGATGGAATTGTTTTTTTCTTGCTGGTTTGAGTTCCTGGTAGATTCTACATATTAGTCCTTTGTTGGATGCATAGTTTGCAAATATTTTCTTCCACTCTGTGGGTTGTTTACTCTGCTGATTATTTCTTTTTCTGTGCAGAAGGTTTTTTAGTTTAATTAAGTCTCATCTATTTATATTTGTTTTTGTTGTATTTGCTTTTAAGTTTTTGGTGATGAACCCTTTGCCTAGGCCAATGTCTGGAAGAATTCTTCTGTTAGCTTCCAGAATTTTTATGGTTTCAGGTCTTAGATATAAGTCTTTGATCCATCTTGAGTTGATTTTTGTGTAAGGTGAGAGATGAGGATCCAGTTTCATTCTTCTACATGCGGCTTGCCAATTATCTCAGCACCATTTATTGGTTAGGGTGTCCTTTCCCCACTTTATGTTGTTGTTTACTTTGTTGAAGATCAGTTGGCTGTATTTGGCTTTATTTCTGGGTTTTATTCTGTTCCATTGGTCTATGCACCTGTTTTTATACTAGTATCATGCTTTTTTGGTAACTATAGCCTTATAGTATAGTTTGATGTTGGGTAATGTGATATTTCCAGATTTGTTGTTTTTGTTTAGTCTTGCTTTGACTATGCAGGCTCTTTTTTTGTTCCATATGAACTTTAGGATTGTTTTCTCTAGTTCTGTGAAGAATGATGCTGGTATTTGGATGGAGAAAATAATTTGGATGGAGCATTGAATTTATAGATTGCTTTTGGAAGTATGGTCATTTTCACAATATTTATTCTACCTATGCATGAGCATGGGATGCGTTTCCATTTGTTTGTGTCATCTATGATTTTTTTCAGGGGTGTTTTGTAGTTTGCATTGCAGAGATCTTTCACCTCTTTGATTAGGTATATTCCTAAGTTTTTTTTTTAAGCTGTTGTAAAAGGGGTTGAGTTCTTGATTTGATTCTCAGCTTAGTCACTGTTGGTGTATAGCAGTGCTACTGATTTGTGTACATTGATCTTGTATTCTGAAACTTCACTGAATTCATTTATCAGATAAAGGAGCTTTTTGGATGAGTCTTTAGGGTTTTCTAGGTATACGATCATATCATCAACAAACAGCAACAGTTTGACTTCCTCTTTACCAATTGGGATGCCCTTTATTTCATTCTCTTGTCTCATTGCTCTGGCTAGGACTTCCAGTACTAAGCTGAATAGAAGTGGTAAAAGTGGGCATCCTTATATTGCTCCAGTTCTCAAAGGAAATGCTTTCCACTTTTCCCTGTTCAGTATAATGTTGGCTATGGGTCTGTCATAGATGGCTTCTATTACCTTAAGATTTGTCCCTTCCATGCTAATTTTGCTGAGGGTCTTAATAATAAAGAAATGCTGGATTTGTATCAAATGCTTTTTCTGTGTCTATTGAGATGATCACATGATTTTTGCTTTTACTTCTGTTTATGTGGTGTATCACATTTATTAACTCATATATTTTTCAGGGGTTGGGGACAGAGTCTTGCTCTGTCACCCAGTCTGGAGTATAATGGCATGATCTTGGCTCATTGCAACCTCCACCTCCCGGGTTCAAAGGATATTCATACCTCAGCCTCACAAGTAGCAGGGATTTCAGGTGTGTGTCACCATGCCCAACTAATTTATTTGTATTTTTTAGTAGAGTCAGGGTTTTGCCATGTTGGCCAGGCTGGTCTCAAACTCCTGGCCTTAAGTGATCCAACCACCATGGCTTCCCAATGTGCTAGATTACAGGTGTAAGCCACTGTGCCCGGCCTGACTTGTGTATGTTAAACCAACCCTGAATCCCTGGTATGGAGCCCACTTGATCACGGTGTATTATCTTTTTGATACGCTGTTGAATTTGGTTAGCTAGTATTTTGTTGAGGATTTTTGCATTGATGTTCATAAGGGATATTTATAAATATGTGTATGAAAAGTTTCAGACACTTGTTTGTTTCCCACTGAAATGTTGGTTCCAACAGATCTACTGCATTCCCAGTAGTGTTCCGTGGTATTGATATTCTAGAGTTTAGAAATCATTTCCCATGTAGATGAACACTGAAGTTGTTCCCAGGATGTTACTATTCAAGCAATACTAGCATGAACTTTTTTTTATTGTTATATTAAATTCTGGGGCGCATGTGCAGGATGTGTAAGTTTGTTAAATAGGTAAATGTGTGCCATGGTGGTTTGCTGCACCTATCAACCCATCATCTAGGTATTAAGCCCAGCATGCATTAGTTATTTTTCCTGATGCTGTTCCTCCCACTGTCCCCAGAACGTTTTTAAATATGCCTCCTTATACACAATTGTGAAGGGTTCTCCGGGCTAGGTACCAAAAAGTAGACTTTTATCATGCATTCTAAACTTAACAGAGTGTGAAGTAAAACCACATTATAACCTTCTGTCCTGTCTTGACACTCATTCCAATCACTGTCCTTCCCAATTACAGGCTTTTGATGGCCATTATTTTAGTTCTATCTAGCCCAGAAATTAGAGGCTGTATTAGTTCGTTCTCACACGGCTATGAAGAGACTGGGTAATTTATTCAGGAAAGAGGTTTAATTGACTCACAGTTCTGCATGGCTGGGGAGGCAGGAAACTTACAATCATGATGGAAGGTGAAGAGGAAGCAAGGCGCCTTCTTCGCAAGGCAGCAGGTGGAAGAATTGCTAGCAAGAGCAGGGAAATCTCCCTTATAAAACCTTGAGACCTCGTGAGAACTCACTATCATGAGGACGGCATGGAGGAAACCACCCCCATGATCCAATTACCTCCACCTGATCTCTCCCTTGACACCTGGCATTAGGGGGATTACAATTCAAGATGAGATTTTGGGTGGGGACACAGCCAAACCATTATCAGAGGCTATGACTGCCATCATTTTATACAAACTGTTTAGATTTACATACATTCTTACATTTCTTTTGCATGTCTGACCTTCCTTTGAGGCCCATCCACTTCTCTTCATTGCAGAGTCAGCTTTTAAAAGTTTCTTTAGTGCTCTTAAGTGAGCTCCCTTAGTTTTTGTTTGAAATGTTATTTACTGTCATTCTTGAAAGACCACTGTACTGATGACTCAATTCTAGAGTGACAATTGTTTTCCCTTGGCACTTTGAAGATATTATATAGTATAGTTTTCTGGCTTTCTTTGTCGGTGTGAAGAAGCCTGGGGTCATTCTAATTTTTGTTCCTTTGTAGGTGATCTTTTTTCTCTAGGTGGTTTAAGATTTTCCTTTTTTTTCGTTTATTTATTCACTTTTATTTTAAGTTCATTGGTGCATGTGTAAGCTTGTTATCTAGGTGAACATGTGTCATGGGGGTTGGTTGTACAGATTATTTCATCACCCAGGTACTAAGCCTACTACTCAATAGTTATTCTTCCTGGTCCTCTTTCTCCTTCCACCCTCCACCACTTGATAGGCCCCAGTGTGTGTTGTTCCCCTCTATGTGTCCATGTGTTCTCATTATTTAGCTCCCACTTATAAGTGAGATCAAGCAGTATTTGGTTTTCTGTTCCTGTGTTAGTTTGCTAAATATAATCGACACTAGTTCCATCCATGTCCCTGAAAAATACATGATCTTGTTTTTTTATTTTATGGCTGCAAAGATTTTCAGTTGTGTTTTCAGTGCTCTACAGAAGTATAGAGAATGGTATCACAAACTCCCATGTGCCCATTCCCCAGCCACAGCAACTCACGCCACCCGTGTTTTTCTGTCTCCTTACTTACACTGTCTCCCTGCCAGGATTATTGTGAATCAGATCCCAGACTTCTTATTGTTTCATCTATAACTATTTTGGTGCATATTTCTAAAATCATATTATTTTAAAATTGAAACATTTTTAAAAATTGTAGTGGGCAAATTATAGAGTAAAGTGCAAGCTAGGCACAAATTTCTAAGATAAAAGAGATCCCAAGATTGTGTAGAATAGAGAGGCCCTGAGCAATTCATCCAGACACCAGAGATTGCCAGCTCACTCTCATTTACCCATCCTGACATCCAACCCTACCCATTACAGAGGCTAAGCCATTTGTCCAAGGTCACATAGAGAATGACTGGGAGAATCAGTAGAATTCCAATTCAGGGCTCTTCCCACAGCCCGTGTTCCCTACATTGTTCTTGAATCTTCCCAAAGTCCTGAGAAAGAAAAGAGGTAGGGAGTGGGAGTTGTGGCTACGGAGAAAGAGGAGTTGATATTTCCAATGTATATCAGAAGCAAACTTGAACTCACCTTTCACAGCCTTCCTTAGCACCAACAGCCAAACACAAATACCTGTGTTTTATACAGAATGCACTTCTGCCAACTCCCACCCTTGCTGTTTACACAAATTTGTTTCTTAATTATTGAAAACCTCCTGTGTGCCAGGTGATTCTCTAAGCCCTGGGGATGCTGCACTGAATTAAGCTGATGTCCCTGGCTTCATGCAACTTACATTCTAGTCAAGGAGAGGAAGCAAGCCCTCAACAAGGGCATACATGTCAGGGAAGCACCATGGAGAAAATAAAGCAAGGGGAGGGGCTGAGCAGTGTATGAGGGTGAGGTGACAGAAATGTCCTCTCCAATAAGGAGGCACTTCACCAGAGACCCCTGTTAAACTAAAGGACGCAAGAAGGTCAGAATTTACCTTAAATAGAGTTGATTTAGGCACAAACGTTGAGGACAGGCCTGTGTGGGAAGCCCAGATTCCACAGAATGGAAGTCTGTATTCCAAAGTGAAGTTTGGGATCCTTTATACAGAGGAAGCTTGGGAAAGCCTAGCAGAATTTCAACATCTTTCTGTGTAAGGTTTAATGCATCATTTAAATGATCTAATTAGTCCAGGTGGTCTTTTTCTTTGTGGAAAGGTAGATTTAACATTCCTCACTGAAGATTTAACAGTCTTGGCATCTCGGGTGTCATCTGGTCTTAGCAAGGTACACGACAATAAAGGAGTCAGTTAACCTATAACAAAGATCTGGGTTCGGTAGTGGGCAAGGCCTGGTCTCTGGTCTCTCCTACTCATTCACAGAAGAGGAACAATGGGGAAGAGAGTTCTCCTTTAATCTGAGAAGCAGAATTGGAAACCGGTGGTGCGACTCAGTCTTGGGTCTTAATATCCTTCTGGGTGTAATAAACTTGGAGGGTGCTGAAACAGTATTTTCTTTGACACCTTGAAGGAAGGGAGAAAGGGAGCTCTATGGCTCTCTAAGGGAAGAGTCCTTGGCATGTTCAAGGATCAAGAAGCCAGTATGATGATCATGGAGGGAGCAGAAGGAAGAGCAGGAGATGAGATGAGAGAAGAGTAGTGGGGCCAGAATCCTCTTGGGTCTTCTAGGCACAGTCAAGATTGAGGGTTTTACTTTGAGTGGGATGGGAGCTCACTGAAGCACAGTTTTTAACTTCTCTAAGAAGGAAGAGAGGGGTGAACAGTGCTTGTGATAGGGTGTGAGGATAGTCAGTCCATTCTAGGACCAAGCAGAAATAGGTTATAAATTACTTGTTCCTGTTTTCCATGTAACAATTTCCTTCCTTTGATGTGGAGACAAAACAGAAAGAATGTTTGCTTTGGTAGATCATCTTCAGCATCCCTCTGTGCTTAAGGAGGCGTATGCACATTGGAATGTCCTGACATGAGTGTCCAGGGTGCTGTTGTTGCCTTTTTTGTTGCAAACTCTTGTCCTTGAGGTGTTTGCCTTCTGATTTGAACCTAATCAGGGTATTGAATACTGTGGCTGCTAAGAGATCATATTTTGCATAAGCTGCTTTTGAGAGAACGGTGAATGATTGACTCCTCAGAGAAAATGCCTAGCAGACCTCTGCAGATGGAGAATTCCTTATTTCCCATATGTGTCATTCCCAGTTCTTTGTCTAGAGAGTCAAGTATTGAACTAAACGATATTTCAGGGTCCTCTCTCTCCTCCTAGTCAGTGGTGAAATGGAAAAGCAGGGGCTCCAGAACCAGCCAGATCAGTTTCCATACCAGCTCTATGAGTCAGGACCCTGCAGACTTGGGCACGTGACTTCATCTCTAGGCCTTTCTTCATCTGTGTCATGAGAGTAACAGCGCTGATCTTGAACATCGTTGTCATTATTGAATAAAAATGCACATAATGTGCTGAGCTTTGCTGGGCACATAGATGTCCCACAAGACAATTTCATTGCCTTGATTCGGGTGTCTAGGTGCGGGCGGGGGATGATATGGAGGGTGGCAGGTAGGGAGCGTCCTTATAGCTGTAGTCAGGGAAAACTGAAATAGTCAGTTGCTTCTCCGAGAGCAGCCGTGCCACCTCTGAAGCACGAGTAACTGGCAGGGCTGTCTGTCCCCTTTGGGCTGCAACCTGGCTTCAATTCTGACCCTGACATTGTGTGCTTCTGAAGCCTTCTCCTCTTGTTTTGACACCTGAAGTCCCCCTGTATATCCTAGACTTCTCAGTCTACCAGAGCATTCACCTTACTTTCTTCATCCCACCCTGCCTTTGATGATGCCTAAGTCCCCGAGACAGGAGGAAGTCTTCCCCAGAAAGGTACTATAGCAGCACTTATACCCATGTTTAATGTCCCAGAAACCTTGTGTTCAAGTAATGCTTTCTCAAGGGTCTTATGTCTTTTCTGTTAGAGCTTCAGCCCCGTTCTTGTGTTCTGTTCTAAGTGAATGAAACGAACATTATGCTGTAGACATTGATGGGTTTGAAGGCCTAAAATGAACAAGTTTTGTTGAACAAAGATTCTTTCTCGTCTTTATCCTTTTCATGCTAAGGAATTTCCTGTCTCCATTTCTTTTGTTCCCACCCTACTCTACACCCTCATGATTCCCTAACGGGACCACTTTAACAGCCTCCCAACACCCTCTTCCTCTTCTCTATACGATTCTGCTCTTAGCAGCCAGATTCTCTTTAGAACATGCATGCTGGAACATGCCACTCCTTGCTTTAAACCCCTCAGCAGCTCCCTACTGCTCTTAGGGTCTCAGTCTGCTCCCATATTCTCACTCACCCGACTCAGAATGTCCTGACCTCTGAGGCCTCTCACCCTTAGCCTACACCACTTCCTGCCCCTCTGGGAACTGCAGTCACACTGGTACTTTCTATGACACAAAGAGACCCCCCACACACACCACGTGGAAGTCTTCTGCCCTTGCCCTGTGTGTTCGTAGGCTGGCTTTCAACTTCGGGTCTGAGCTGGAGCATCACCTTCTCAGAGAAACATCCCCTGATGGGCCTAAGGGCTCCTCCCCCGTCATTTGGTCTCAGAACTCCCCTCAGCTTCCTCCCTTTTACTTAATTTGCATTTAACTGCTGATTTGTCTTTCCCCCACCAGAATGCTAACTTCTCAAGGGTGGGAATCTGTTTTTCTTGTCCTCCCCTGGATCCCCAGCCCCTAGCAGTGCCTGGTAATAGTAAGTCCTCAATATATAGTTGCTGAATGAATTTATGATTACTTTTTATAACACTGAAAGATTGCAAAGAATCTAATTATTCAGAAATAGGGTATTCACCAAAAAAATTATGATAGAATTAGTCAGATGTGGTGGCTCACACCTATAGTCCCAATGACTCAGGAGGCTGAGGTAGGAGGATCACCTGAGCCCAGAAGGTTGAGGCTGCAGTGAGATATGATCACGCCATTATACTTTAGCCTGGGTGACTGGTTGAGGCCCTGTTTTTTTTTTTTTAAAAAAGTTATGGTAGAATCATGTGATTGCCTGTTATGCTGTATAGAGGAATATATTATGGAATGAAAAAAATTACTAGTCCTATTTTGTGAAAAAAAAATCTATCAACATTCGGTTGTTTTTTGTTGTTGTTTGTTTGTTTGTTTTTTTGGTTGCTGTTTTAAAAAAAGACTGCAAGGACAGCTACCAAATATTAGCAGTGTTATCTCTGGGGTGAGTGATTTTTCTTCTTTTCCTTAAAAAAAATTGTGTATTAAGTATTTCCTACAGTGAAACAAGTATTGCTTTTATAGTGGAAACATGATTCTAAGCAGAGCTGTGCAATGCTGACCTGGCATGGGGTGGGAAGAAGGGGGTTAGGGAGGCGGTGCTTAGGGTCCAGAGTCTGAGTTGGCCTCATTCTGGTTTCAGCTCTGGAAGGAGTGAAGAATGAGTCACTGGAGCCCATCCAGTCCCTCATGGATGACATACTGAGGGCTCAGGAAGATGCCCCCTTGCAACCTGCCTCAGCTTCCAGGCTGAGTCACCTAAGCAGCTTCTTTCAGAAAGCCTTTCACAGGCACACTCAGGAAGAAGTACATCTTCAATTGAACAAGAAATAATATGAATAAAAAATGTAAAGAATAAAAAATGCACTGCCACACTGGTGGGGCAGGAGGGTGAAAGTCGTGCCCCTCACAATAGGTAATGTCTATAAAAGGACAACCGAGGCCATCACCAAGTCCACCTACAGAAGGCGGGTCTGTCTCAACCCCAGCTGTCAGTCACTGTGAACCTTTAGAACTGGGGCTGAAGCTTCTTCCAGTTGCTTGCTCAGATGTCAGTGAGACCGCTCCACAACAGATAAGGGGAGCTGTGTGTCAGGAAAGTCCCAGCCACCAGGACAAGCTGCACTCCAGGCAGACGTTTCTGTTCTTGTGCAAAGAACAGCGCAATCCATTCAAGTTCACAGGGGCAGGTGGCACTTGAAAATCTCAGGGTCAACTTGCAGGGCAGAAGTTAGCAGGGAAGTCTTCCTGGGGGAGTGGGAGAGCCCAGCAGAGTTTAGGAGGAGGGAAGGGCGATATCGGGGCAATCCTCTGAGTCTCTCTTTCCTCTTCAGGAACTGTTCAGGAAGACCCTGCAGTCTCTCTGCTGGCTCATGGGAGCTCCCAGAACTGAAGCAACATACAGATCCAGGCCACTCTAAGCTCTGCCTGCATTTTCACAGGGCACATTCTTGTGTATATGTGTGTGTGTGTGTGTTTGGTGCATGTGTGTCTGTGTGTGTGTTCTCTTCTTAATAAAACCAGCAATCACTGGACTAGGTAGGGCCCACTCTAATCCACTGAGCTCCCCTTACCTTGGTAACATCTGCAAAGACCCTATTTTCAAACAAGGTCACATTCCGGGTTCTGAGTGGACATGAACTTTTTCAACCCAGTACATCTGGGAACAGGCAGTCAAGGGTAGAAGAGATCAACCTGAGGATGAGGTTTGGATGCAGAGTTTTGAGAGAAGGGTGATCAGAGCTAGGGTCTAAGCAACATTGGTCTGCTCCCTTGGAGGAGAATTTTCCCTTTTTCCTTCTGCCCTTTAGCCAGTGCTGCAGCCACCTCCTCTCTCATAGCTGGCATTTAAAAGCCAAATGGATGCCACAACCTTCTAAGGCATCTAGATATGCAACTAAAATATTAAAAAAATTCCAGCAAGGTCAAAATAATCTCAGGCCTAGATTTGCCACCAGTGCCCTCTTCTGGGCAGCTTTATTTTACAGTAGTGTCACGAAACACTTGTTTGTCAATATATGTATTTGTGCACTAAGTGTCACCAGAAAATACATTTATGTCTGTTGGTTACAGCCTAAAAAGTTTAAGAAACCATGTTTAGATGTTTTCCCAGTCAGGAAAGGCCAAACTAAAAAGGGCTGTGTGTGTGTGTGCGTGTGCGCGTGTGTGTGTGTGTGAAAAAGAGAGATGGGGGCCCCCATTCCACTAAGAAGATGACAGAGGCTGTGCAGGTTTTTTCTCTGTGATCTCCCCTCCTCCTACAAATCATGCCCAGAGGAGGGATCTTGAGGACCTGCCCCTGCCTCCCCAGACCCATCTCCACACCCAGGCCATCCTGGGCAGAGGACAGCAGAGCTCACATCTCTGTGGAGAGCAGACTGGGCTCACTGCAGGCCTCTGTGTCATTGTTCATCTTCACTTCATAAGTCTCATTCTGAGACCTCTCCTGACACACCATGGCTATCTGGCTCTCCTGGGAAAAGCACTTACAACATTCAAGATAGAGAAAATCATCAGCAGCTGCCAACCCT